>NC_000024.10:56821509-57121509 GCF_000001405.40 Homo sapiens | reverse complement strand
CCAGAATTTCATATCCAGCCAAACTAAGCTTCATAGGTGAAGGAAAAATAAAATCCTTTACAGACAAGCAAATGCTGAGAGATTTTGTCACCACCAGGCCTGCCTTACAAGAGCTCCTGAAGGAAGCACTAAACATGGAAAGGAACAACACATACCAGCCACTGGAAAAACATGCCAAATTGTAAAGACCATCAAGGCTAGGAAGAAACTGCATCAACTAACGAGCAAAATAACCAGCTAGCATCATAATGACAGGATCAAATTCACACATAACAGTATCAACCTTAAATGTAAATGGGCTAAATGCTCCAATTAAAAGACACAGACTGGCAAATTAGATAAAGAGTAAAGACCCATCAGTGTGCTGTATTCAGGAAATCCATCTCATGTGCAGAGACACACATAGGCTCAAAATAAAGGGATGCAGGAAGATCTACCAAGCAAATGGAAAACAAAAAAAGGCAGGGGTTGCAATCCTAGTCTCTGATAAAACAGACTTTAAACTAGCAAGGATCAAAAGAGACAAAGAAGGCCATTACATAATGGTAAAGGGATCAATTCAACAAGAAGAGCTAACTATCCTAAATATTTATGCACCCAATACAGGAGGACCCAGATTCATAAAGCAAGTCCTTAGAGACCTACAAAGAGACTTAGACTCCCATACAATAATAAAGGGAGACTTTAACACCCCACTGTCAACATTAGACAGATCAATGAGACAGAAAGTTAACAAGGATATCCAGGAATTGAACTCAGCTCTGCACCAAGCGGACCTAACAGACATCTACAGAACTCTCCACCCCAAATCAACAGAATATACATTCTTCTCAGCACCACATCGCACTTATTCCAAAATTGACCACATAGTTGGAAGTAAAGCACTCCTCAGCAAATGTAAAAGAACAGAAATTATAACAAACTGTCTCTCAGACCACAGTGAAATCAAATTAGAACTCAAGATTAAGAAACTCACTCAAAACTGCTCAGCTACATGGAGACTGAACAACCTGCTCCTGAATGACTACTGGGTACATAACGAAATGAATGCAGAAATAAACATGTTCTTTGAAACCAATGAGAACAAAGACACAACATACCAGAATCTCTGGGACACATTTAAAGCAGTGTGTAGAGGGAAATTTATAGCACTAAATGCCCACAAAAGGAAGCAGGAAAGATATAAAATTGACACCCTAACATCACAATTAAAAGAACTAGAGGAACAAGAGCAAACACATTCAAAAGCTAGCAGAAGGCAAGAAATAACTCAGAGCAGAACTGAACGAGATAGAGACACAAAAAACCCTTCAAGAAATCAATGAATCCAGGAGCTGGTTTTTTGAAAAGATCAACAAAATTGATAGACTGCTAGCAAGACTAATAAAGAAGAAAAGAGAGAAGAATCAAATAGACGCAATAAAAAATGATAAAAGGGGATATCACCACCGATCCCACAGAAATACAAACTACCATCAGAGAATACTACAAACACCTCTACACAAATAAACTAGAAAATCTAGAAGAAATGGATAAATTCCTTGACACATACACCCTCCCAAGACTAAACCAGGAAGAAGTTGAATCTCTGAATAGACCAATAACAGGCTCTGAAATTGAGGCAATAATTAATAGCTTACCAACCAAAAAAAGTCCAGGACCAGATGGATTCACAGCCGAATTCTACCAGAGGTACAAGGAGGAGCTGACACCATTCCTTCTGAAACTATTCCTATCAATAGAAAATGAGGGAATCCTCCCTAACTCATTTTATGAGGCCAGCATCATCCTGATACCTAAGCCTGGCAGAGACACAACACAAAAAGAGAATTTTAGACCAATATCCCTAATGAACACCGACGCAAAAATCTTCAATAAAATACTGGCAAATCGAATCCAGCAGCACATCAAAAAGCTTATCTACCATGATCAAGTGGGCTTCATCCCTGGGATGCAAGGCTGGTTCAACATATACAAATCAATAAATGTAATCCAGCATATAAACAGAACCAAAGACAAAAAACACACGATCATCTCAATAGATGCAGAAAAGGCCTTTGACAAAATTCAACAGCCCTTCATGCTAAAAACTCTCAATAAATTAGGTATTGATGGGACGTATTTCAAAATAATAAGAGCTATGACAAACCCACAGCCAATATCATACTGAATGGGCAAAAACCGGAAGCATTCCCTTTGAAAACTGGCACAAGATAGGGATGCCCTCTCTCACCACTCCTATTCAACATAGTGTTGGAAGTTCTGGCCAGGGCAATCAGGCAAGAGAAAGACATAAAGGGTATTCAATTATGAAAAGAGGAAATCAAATTGTCCCTGTTTGCAGATGACATGATTGTATATCTAGAAAACCCCATTATCTCAGCCCAAAATCTCCTTAAGCTGATAAGCAACTCCAGCAAAGTCTTGATACGAAATCAACGTGCAAAAATCACAAGCATTCTTATACACCAATAACAGACAAACAGAGAGCCAAATCATGAGTGAACTCCCATTCACAATTGCTTCAAAGAGAATAAAATACCTAGGAATCCAACTTACAAGGGATGTGAAGGACCTCTTCAAGGAGAACTACAAACTACTGTTCAGCGAAATAAAAGAGGACACAAACAAATGGAAGAACATTCCATGCTCATGGATAGGAAGAATCAATATCATGAAAATGGCCATACTGCCCAAGGTAATTTATAGATTCAATGCCATCCCTATCAAGCTACCAATGACTTTCTTCACTGAATTGGAAAAAACTACTTTAAAGTTCATGTGGAGCCAAAAAAGAGCCTGCATTGCCAAGTCAATCCTAAGCCAAAAGAACAAAACTGTAGGCATCATGCTACCTGACTTCAAACTATACTGCAAGGCTACAGTAACCAAAACAGCATGGTACTGGTACCAAAACAGAGATATAGACCAATGGAACAGAACAGAGCCCTCAGAAGTAATACCACACATCTACAACCATGTCATCTTTGACAAACCTGACAAAAAGAAGAAATGGGGAAAGGATTCCCTATTTAACAAATGGTGCTGGGAAAACTGGCTAGCCATATGGAGAAAGCTGAAACTGGATCCCTTCCTTACACCTTATACTAAAATTAATTCAAGATGGATTAAAGACTTAAATGTTAGACCTAAAACCATAAAAACCCTAGAAGAAAACCTAGGTAATACCATTGAGGACATAGGCATGGGCATGGACTTCATATCTAAAACACCAAAAACAATGGAAACAAAAGCCAAAATTGACAAATGGGATCTAATTAAGGAGCTTCTGCACAGCAAAAGAAACTACCATCAGAGTGAACAGGCAACCTACAGAGTGGGAGAAAAGTTTTGCAATCTACTCATCTGACAAAGGGCTAATATCCAGATTCTACAAAGAACTCAAACAAATTTATAAGAAAAGAAACAAACAACCCCATCAACAAGTGGGTGAAGGATATGAACAGACACTTCTCAAAAGATGGCATTTATGCAGCCAACAGACACATGAAAAAATGCTCATCATCACTGGCCATCAGAGAAATGCAAATCAAAACCACAATGAGATACCATCTCACACCAGTTAGAATGGCGATCATTAAAAAGTCAGGAAACAACAGGTGCTGGAGAGGATGTGGAGAAACAGGAACACTTTTACACTGTTGGTGGGACTGTAAACTAGTTCAACCACTGTGAAAGACAGTGTGGCGATTCCTCAGGGATCTAGAAGTAGAAATACCATTTGACCCAGCCATCCCATTACTGGGTATATACCCAAAGGATTATAAATCATGCTGCTATCAAGACACATGCACACGTATGTTTATCGTGGCACTATTCACAATAGCAAAGACCTGGAACCAACCCAAATGTCCAACAATGATAGACTGGATTCAGAAAATGTGGCACGTATACACTATGAAATACTACGCAGCCGTAAAAAAGGATGAGTTCATGTCCTTTGCAGGGACATGGATGAAGCTGGAAACCATCATTCTCAGCAAACTACTGCAAGGACAAAAAACCAAACACCACATGTTCTCACTCATAGGTGGGAACTGAACAATGAGAACACCTGGACACAGGAAGGGGAACATCACACACCGGGGCCTGTTGTGGGGTGGTGGGAGGGGGAAGGGATAGCATTTGGAGATATACCTAATGTAAATGATGAGTTAATGGGTGCAGCACACCAACACGGCACATGTTTACATATGTAACAAACCTGCACGTTGTGCACATGTACCCTAGAACTTAAAGTATAATAAAAAATATATATATTTATAAAAAAAATAAAAAATAAAAAAGAATTAAAAGAAAAAAAATTTTTTTTTTTTTGAGATGGAGGTCACCCCTCTGTAACCCAGCCTGGAATGCAGTGGTGTGATCATAGCTCTCTGCAGCTCTGAATTCCTGGGTTCAAGCAATTCTCCATCTTCAGCCCCCCAAGTAGCTAGGACTACAGGTGCACCCAATCACACCTATTTTTTTTTTTTTTTTGTTTGGTTTTGTAGAGATAAGGTCTCACTTTGTTGCCTAGGCTGGTCTTGAACTTCTGGATTTTAGAGATCTTTCAGCTTTGGCCTCCCAAAGTATAAGTATTAGGATTATAGGTATGAGCTACCATGCACAGCCTTGATTTATTTTTCTAATAGACTGTAATCTAGATAGTAACAATGTGATTTAGGGTGGGGAAAAGACACTCCAGAAAAAATGACTATGTGATTTAGGAGGCTTTGGATCACACCAAGTGGAGCTGGAGACTGAGATCAAGCCAGAGGGCAGTCAGTCAATAATGCCTACATAATGAAACCCCAATAAAAACTCTGAACACTAAGGCTTGGGTAAGCTTTCCTGTTAGGCAATGCTCTGCACATTTTGTCACACACTGATGCCAAGAGAGCAACGTGTCCTGACTCCATGGGAAGAGGACAACAAAAGCTCTACATTTGGTATCTTCCCAAACTCCACCCTATGTACTTTTTCCCTTGGCTGGTCTTACTATGTATAATTTGCCTGTAATAAACCATAACTGTGAGTATAATAGTGCTCACAGAGTATTATAAATCCTTCTAATGAACTATCAAATCTGAGGGTGGTTTGGGGAATCCCCAAACTTGCAGTTGGTGCCATTAAGTGAGGGTGGACTTGAGTAAACTGTATAGTTGTTCATGCCATGGCTCCAGCGTGAGTGGATGGCTTGACTGAGATCCTGTTGCTCTGCTCCTCTGTGTTGCCAATCAATTTGGCCTTGAGACCTCACTAAGTTCTTTAAGCCATGGTACCTTTTTTACGTCTTTCCATCCAACACGGGACAAGAATATCTGGGAATAAGCCTCCCCAGTGACATGGGATAAACTTATATCTAAAATGCTGATCATCAATGCTTTCAGAAGAGAAAAATTTTGATCAAAAGGGGGAAATGAGAAAAGAAAAACAGCTCAGAGCAGCCTGAGCTATGTGAGGTATATAAAATTTATCAGGCCCAGAAGACATGAGTATGGGGACTTCAGTCACACCCCCCACACAATGCCCAGGGGGGGCAACTGTTTAAAGGCAATTTGTTGCTGACTAGCTGCCTCAACCATTATCTTCATGTTCCTGGAATTTGTGATACAAAGGACAATGTATAGCAATCAATAGCTTATGCTATTTTAATGTAAATTCTTGGTAAACAAATTAGATACTGCCTCTCCTTTTTTCCTTTAAAAACCTACTTGTAACTGCTGCTAATTAGAACATATATTCAGAGCAACTTGAATCTATGCTCCTGGGTTGCAGTCCTCAAACTTGGCCCAAATAAAAAACGTGTAAACTGTATAGTTGTTGAACTTCTCAGATGCCTAAATTCTTCATGCACTGAAATGCAGCAATATTCAGAGAATTTTGAGAGAAAATGATCTTAACCCTAGAATTCTACACCAGTCAAAAAATTGTTCAAATATGAGACCAAAATAACACTTTTATTCTTGAAGGGATTATCATCCACAAACTCATATGAAGAAAATGTGTGAGGATATACTACAAACAAAGACTAATTCACAATAAATAATTCAAGAAAGAGAAAGATGATGTAGATGAGAAAAAGCAGTGAGGAATGAAACTAATAAATCCGAACATAGCTGTGTGATTCAACAGGTTGTAATGGAGATTCCTCCACCACTCTCAGGTCAACATCTGAACACTGACAAACCATCTGTTTAAAACAAGTTCACCTATAAAGAACAATTGTTAAATGTTGCCCTAAGACATGCCTGTGTCCTAATCCCTATGAATGTGACATATGTGATATTATCTGGAAAAGGGGTCTTTACAGATGTGATTATGTCAAGAATCTTGAGATGAAGAGAGTATCCTGGATTATCCATGTGAGCCCTAAATGACATCACAAATGTCTCTATAGGAGGAAAGTAGATGGAGGCTTGACACACATGCAAAGGAGAAGGTAATGTGAACATGGAGGCAGAGACTACAATGATATAGCCACAAGCCAAGAAATACTGGCAGCCACCTGAAGCTGGAAGAGGCATGGAACAGATCCTCTCCTAGAGCCTCTGGAAGGAGTGTAGCCTTGCTAACACCTTAATTTCAGCCCAGTTAAACTGATTTTGAACTTCTGAAATCCAGTAGTGGGAGAAAATAAATTTTTGTTGTTTTAAGCCACCAAGTTTGTGATAATTTGTGATAGCAGCCACAGAAAGCTAATAACCATATATAAAAAGTTGAAAACCAAATATAAAAAGACACTCTTAAAACCAGCCAAAGGGGGCCAGGTGTGGTGGCTCATGCCTGTATTTCCAGCACTTTGGGAAGCCAAGGTGGGAGGATCACTTGAGCCTGGGCATTTGAGACCAGCCAGAGCAACATAGGGAGACCCGTCTCTAAGAAAAATTTAAAAAATTAGCTAAGTGTGATGGCGCATGCCTGTGGTCCTCCTACTTGGGAGGCTGAGGCAAGGCAGGAGGATCACTTGAGCCTGGGAGGTGGAGGCAACAGTAAGCTGTGATCGTGCCACTGCACTCCAGCCTGGGTGAGAGAGAGAGACTCTGTCTTAAAAAAACAAAACAAACAACAACAACAACAACAACAAAAGCCAAAGGTGGGGTAAGAATCATTATTTTTCAAGTAAGACTAAGAGAAATGACAATCTCTTTGAGAACATATGAAAGCCAAAGAAAAATGGAATGGCATTTTTAAAGCACTCACTTTAAAAAAAAAAAAAAACTGCCATTGTGAAAAACTAAAAAACTCTATGCAAAGAAAGTATTCTTTAAAAAAATGATGAAACAGATTTTCAGACAAAAGCTTAGAGAATCTCTCATCAGTAGATCAACATTATAAGAAACAATAAAAGAACTTCTTCAGTTTGAAGCAAACAAAATCGTACACTGAAACAGAACTGCAGGAAAACAATAAAGGACACAGAAAGAATTACAGGCATATCCCCTTTTATTGTACTTCACATTATCGCACTTCATGGATTTTTTTTTTTTTTTTTTTTTTTTTTTGGCAAATCGAAGGTCTGTGGAAACCCCATGATGAGACTATCAGCACCATTTTTCTGGTTTGTTTTTTTTTTTTCCTGCTTGGCCTGCACTTTTTGTTTCTTTTTATTATTATTATTATACTTTAAGTTCTAGGATACATGTGCAGAACGTGCAGGTTTCTTACACAGGTATACACGTGACATGGTGGTTTGCTGTACCCATCAACCCGTTATCTACATTAGGTATTTCTCCTAATGCTATCCCTCCCCTAGCCCCCACTCCCCGACAGGCCCCAGTGTGTGATGTTCCCCTCACTGTGTCCATGTGTTCTCATTGTTCAACTCCCACTTAGGAGTGAGAACATGCGGCAGCACCATTTTTCTAACAGCATGTGGTCGCCTCATGTCTGTGTTTTGGTAATTCTTATAACATTTCAAACTTTTCATTATTTTCATTCTATCTGTTATGACGATCTGTGACCTCTGATGTTACTATTGTGATTGTTTTCGGGTGCCATAAACTGTGCCTATATAAGGTGACGGAGCTAACGGATAAATGTTGTGTGTTCTAACTGTTCACTGACCAGCTATTCTCTTATCTCTCTCCCTCTCAGGCCTCCCTATTTGCCGAGACACAATATTGAAATTTGGCCAATTAATAACCTTACAATGGCATCTATGTATTCAAGTGAAAGGAAAAGTCACACATCCCTTGCTTTAAATCAAAAGATAAAAATAATTAAGCTTAGTGAGTAAGGCATGTCGAAAGCTGAGATGGGCCTAAAGCTAGGTGTCCTGTGACAAACAGTTAACCAAATTGTGAATGCAAAGAACAGTTCTTGAAGGAAATCAGGAGTGCTACTCCAGTGAACACACATATAAGAAAGCAAAACAGACTTACTGCTGATATGGAGAATGTTTTAGGGGTCTGGATAGAAGATTAAACCAGCTATAACATTTCCTTAGGCCAAAGCCTAATACAGAGCAAGGCCCTAACTCTTCAACTCTATGAAGGCTGAGAGAGGCGAGGAAGGTGCAGAAGAAAAGTTTAAAGCTAGCAGAAGTTGGTTCATGAGGTTTAAGGAAAGAAGCCATCTCTATAACATAAAAGTACAAGGTGAAGCAGCAAGTGCTGAGAGAGAAGCCACAGTAAGTTATCCAGGAGACCTAGCTAAGATCATTGATAAAGGTGGCTATACTAAACAACAGATTTTTCAATGTAAACAAAACACCCTTCTTTTGGAAGAAGATGCCATCTAGGACTTTCATAGAGAGAAGCCAATGACTGGCTTCAAAGCTTCAAAGGATAAGCTGACTTTTATTAGGGACCAATGCAGCTGATGACTTTAAGCTGAAGCCAATGGTAATTTACCATTCTGAAAATCTAGGGCCCGTAAGAATTATGCTAAATATACTCTGCCTGTGCTCTTGAAATGGAACAACAAACCTGGAAGATAGCACATCTGTTTACAGGATGGTGTACAGAAGATCTGTGGAGATCTGCTGCTCAAAAAGAAAAGATTCCTTTCAAAGTATTACTGCTCATTGACAATGAACCTAGTCACTCAAGAGCTCTGATGGAGACTTACGAGGAGATAAATGTCGTTTTCATGCCTGTGTGAAAGGAAAATAAATCTTGGGGCCTCCAAATCACTAAGCTAAAGGGAAAAGTCAAGCTGGGAACTGCTTATGGCCAACCTGCCTCCCATTCTATTCAAAGTCACCCCTCTGCTCACTGAGATAAATGCGTATCTGATTGCCTCCTTTGGAGAGGCTCATCAGAAACTCAAAAGAATAGAACCATTTGTCTCTTATCTATCTAAGACCTGGAGGCCCCCTCCCCACTTCGAGCCTTCCCGCCTTTGCTTCGAGTTGTTCCGCCTTTCCAGGCCAAACCAATGTTCATCTTGCATATGTTGACTGATGTCTCACGTCTCCCTAGAATGTATAAAACCAAACTGGGCTTTGACCACCTTGGGCACATGTTGTCAGGACCTCCTGAGGCTGTGTCACGGGTGTGCGCTCTCAACTTTGGCAAAATAAACTTTCTAAATCAACTGAGACCTGTCTCAGACTTTTGGGGTTCACACCTGCTAATACAACATCCATTCT
Source organism: Homo sapiens (assembly GCF_000001405.40). Classification (NCBI taxonomy): domain Eukaryota; kingdom Metazoa; phylum Chordata; class Mammalia; order Primates; family Hominidae; genus Homo; species Homo sapiens. The sequence continues at coordinate 57,111,911 of NC_000024.10, read as the reverse complement.
GCTGCCCATGAATCAAGGAGTGATTTCAACTTTCAAGTCTTATTATTTAAGAAAAACATTTAGTATAGCTGCCATAGATAATGATTCCTCTGATGGATCTGGGCAAAGTAAACTGAAGACCTTCTAGAAAGGATTCACCATTCTAGATGCCATTAAGAACATTCATGATTCGTGGGAGGAAGTCAAAATATAAACATTAACAGGTGTTTGGAAGAAACTGATTACAACCCTCACAAATTACTTTGAGGGGTTCAAGACTTCAGTGGAGTGAGTAACTGCAGATGTGGTAGAAATAGAAGAGAACTAGAATTAGAACTGGAGCCTGAAGACATGACTGAACTGCTGCAGTTTCTTGATAAAACTTTAATGAATGAGGAGTTGTTTCTTATGCATGGGCAAGGAAAGTGGTTTCTTGAGATGGCAACTATTCCTGGTGAAGATGCTGTGAACACTGTTGAAATGACAACAAAAGATTTAGAAAATTACATCAACTCAGCTGATAAAGCAGTAGCAGGGTTTGAGAGGATTGACTCCAATTTTGAAAGAAGTTCTATTGCCAGTAAATTGCTATCAAATAGCAACACATGCTACAGAGAAATCTTTTGTGAAAGAGTCAATCAATGTGGTAAACTTCACTGTTGTCTTATTTTAAGAAATTGCCACAGCCACCACAACCTTCAGCAACCACCAGCCTGATCGATCAGTCAGTAGCCATCAACATCAAGGTGAGACCCTCCACCAGCAAAAAGATTAAGGCTCACTGAAGGCTCAGGTGATTGTTAGCATTTTTTTTTAAGCAATAAACTATTATGCTTAGTGAAATAAGCCAGACACAAAAGGGCAAATTTTGTATGATCCCACTTATATGACATATCTAGAACAGGCAAATTCAGAGACAGAAAGTAGATTAGAGTTACCAGGGGCTGAGAGTAAGGGGAATGGGGAGTTATTATTACTTAATGGTTACAGAGTTTTTGTTAAGGGGTGATAAAAAAGTTTTGGAAATAGCTAGTAGTGATGGATGCACAACATTGTGGATGTAATTAACATCACTGAATTGTGCACTTTAAAAAGGTTAAAATGGCAAAATTTTATGCTATACATATTTTACCACAATTTTAATAATGTAATATACTAAATTCCACTGAAGTGTACCCTTTAAATGGGCAATTTGTATGGTCTGTGAGTTATCTCTCAATAGAAGTGTTAAAAAACAAATAGAGATGGTTAAAAAACAATTTAAAAAGTACTTGAGTAATCAAAATAAAAAAGAAGAGGACAGGGATGCGGCAAATAAAAAACAAAGAGCAAGATACCTACACCTAACTCTATCAAAATTTGCATTACATGTAAGTGGAATAAGCACTTCAATTATAAATATACTTCATATACTCAAGGTAGAGGAAAGTATGCACATGTTAAGGAGACACATGGAAGATATAAAAAAGATCCAAAACAAACCTGTAAAGATGAAACATACACAGGACAGAAACAGCAGATTGCGAACTGCAGAAGAAAAGGTAAGTAAACTTGAAGACATAGCAATAGAAACTATTCTAAATGAAACATAGTGGAAAAAAGACTTAAAAATGAACAAAGCATCAGTGAGTTGTGGGACAGCTTCAAGTGGCTTAATACAGATGTCACTGGAAGCCTAGAAAGAGCTAAACATTTTCATAATTTGATGAAAACTACAACAAACTCAAAGCCAAAGAAACATAAAGAAATATATACCAAGGCATATATATTATAATCAAATTTCTTAAAACCAATGATAAAGAGAAAATCTTTAAAGCATCCAGAAGAAAAAAAAATACACTTTATGTATGTAAGAATGACAGCAGAATTCTTGTCAGAAACAATGTAAAAGACAGTGATGAACCACCGTTCATCAAGTATTAAAAGAAAGAAAAATCACTGACCTAGAATTCTATACTCAGTGAAAATGTCTTTCAAAAAAAAAAAGGAAGTGAAATAAAAACTTCTCAGACATACCAAACCTGAAAGAATTCATTTCCAGTAGACCTACACACTTGAACTACAATGGAAGATTATATGTTAAATTAAAGCATACAGGCAGAAAGAAAATAACATCAGATAGAAACTCGGCCTACACAAAAGAATTAAGAGCACTGAAATGGTAGCTGCATGGGTAAACAGAAAAGACTTCCCTTATTATTTAAATCTCTTTAAAAGATAATCAACTCTTTAAACAAAAACAACAACAATGTATTATGAAGTTTTTAATACATGTGTAAATAAAAATATGTCAACAATAGCATAAAGGCCAAGAAGAAACAGCTAGAAGTATACTATTATAAGGTTCTTATCTATTCATGAAGTGGAAAAATGCCACTTTAAGGGAGATTATAAATCAAAGACATACTGTAAACCCTAAAGCAATCAGAAAATGACAGAATGGAGCTATAGCTAATAAACTGACAAAGGAGACATAATGGAATAACAAATGTACTAAATCCAATGGAAGGCAGAACAAAAAGGGAACAAAGACTAGATGGTATAAATAGGAAACAAACAGCAAGATGGCAGATTTTAAATTTTCCAACGAAGAAAACTCGAGGCCCAATCTGCTTTACTAGTAAATTCTTCCAAACATCTAAGACAGATAATACCAATAGTACCCAAACTCAGAAGATAGAGAGGTAAGATTTCCCAACTTGTTTAATGAGGCCAGCATATTCCTGATACCAAAACCTAAAGAGAAAAATAAATTACAGACCACTATCTCTTATAAACATAGATGCCAAATTCCTGAACAAAACAATAGCAAATCCAATAAAGTGTTATATAAGAAGGGTAGTAAGTCATGACCTTGCAGGAATGCAAAGTTGGTTTAACACTGAAAAATCAATGTAATTTGCCATACTAACTGAATAAAGGAGAAAAACCAAAGATCTCAATAAATGGAGAAAAAGCATTTGATAAAATCATGAATACAACTCTCAAATGAGGAATTAAAGGGAATTCTTCCACCTATTAAAGGGTACCTACAAAAAATCTACAGTTAACCACAAACTTAACACTGAATTTATTTTTTTCAAAAAGTATTGAATTTTTCCCCACAAGATGGTCAATAGGCAAGGATGTTCACTGTTATCACTTGTATTCAGTATTGTGTAGAAGGTTCTAGCCAGAATAAGGGAAGGAAAATAAAAGGCAGGAATGTACAAAACAGTAACCAGAACTGGTAAATGAATTTTTCTAAGGTTGCAGAATACAAACAAGGTCAATATACAATAACCAACTTTATTTCCATATACTAGCAATAAAGAATTAGAAACAAAATTTAAAAATTTGTTACACAATACAAAAGCATGATATTCTCAAGGGTAAATTTAACAAATATGTGCAAGACCTGTACACCAAAAACTAAAAAATACTGCTGAGAAAAATTTTTAAATCCTAAGCAAAAGCAGAGATATGTCACGTTCATGGACCGAAAAACTCTATACTGTCAAGATACCAATGTCCCCTAAAGTGACCTATATATTAAATGCAGTCACAAAGATACACATTGTTGTGGGGTCAAGAGATGGAAAACAAGCTTATTCTAAAACATATATGGAAATGCAAAGCACCTAAAAGAGTGAAGACAATATTGGACAACAAGAATATAGTTGGAAGACTTACACTACTTAATTTCAAGAATTCTATTAAGTTATACTAATCAACACAGTGTGGTACTGGCATAAAGGTAGACAAACTGACCAATGGAACAAAATAGAGAATCCAGAAATAAAGCCCCACAGAGAAGAACGGATAAACAAATTGTGGTAGATTTGTATAATGGAATAATATAAAACAATAAAAAAGAATAAGTGATTACTATAATAAAAAACGTGGATGAATTTCACAGGCATAACAGTGAGTGAAAGAGGCCAGACACAAATAAATTTTAAGAACAGGCAAAACACTATCTGTGGTGATATAAGTCAGAAACATAATTACGTCTATTGGGGATTATTAACTGGAAGGGGTATGAGGCAGCCTTCTGGGGTGTTGGTAATGTTTTCTATCTAGATCTGGGTGGTGGTTACATGGGTATAGATATATATAAAAAATAATTGAGCTATACACTTAAAAGTTGTACACTTGATACAATTTGCTGCACGTATGTTATTCTACCATAAAGAGAGATACCTGTTAGTTCATTAGTACCTTCTGTTTTCAGTCATGAAGTCAACAAAATTAAGACTTTTATTTGTAAAGTACAGATCATACTACTATTGGTCAAAGACAGACCATTCCCCCTAAGCAGGGTAATCCTCAAGAATTAAGAATAACTAAGAGACAGCCTGGAAGTATCAAAGAAATTGGTCTGCAGATCTGGAATCAGATACTTCTCTGTTTTCTTTGCTCCCCAGCAATGGGTCACAAAGTGAGATCTAGAACCCAGGTGTTTTGACTTCCTGTATGGTAGCATCCTTCCTCCACCTACCACATGCTTTGATGAAAAAACTGTTTATAAACTCCTAGAAAACCTGATAGTAGACTGTATATACTAAAACCTGCTGCTAATAGATGTCCCTGTAAAATTAACAATAATGATGAACATTTAAATAGCTCTTACTATGTATCAAATACTGTGTTAGGCACTTTACATGCATTATCTGATTTAATCCTTAAAATGCTCTGAAGTGGGTACATCTTCATTTTACAGAAGATGATGACTGAGGCACAAAGAGGTTAAGTCATTTGCCTAAGGTCACACAACTAGTAAGTAGCAGAGGTGGGATTCAAATCCAGGCAACCTGATACTAGAGCCTGTGTTCTTAACCACTACAATCCAGCTGTCAGTCACAACGAACATAATCAATCACTGTTTTCTTTCAAGGTGTAAACCTGCACTGTACATTTACATTTATAATTGTGTAGACCCAAATTGTAGCTGATCTCTGCCCTCCTTCTGTTCACCATATATCTGTCATCTTTCCTTAAAACTTTCATCCACAGTAACTGCATTGAAAATGTGAGGACATACGGAACCATAGTATAAGCAGCTCACAAGGACACATTGTCTCCTTTAAGGCTTATTGGCGCTTTCCAATCGATGTCTCTTGATTGATACAAGGCAAGATGAAACTATCAGTGTAAGCAAAAAAGTGAATTGTCCAGTTTTCAAGATTCATACTGGGTCACAAACGGCTTGCACATTTGTTTCATGTTTTACAAATTTGTAAAGGGAACAGACTGTTACATGCAGTTGAGGTGCTAAATTATATAGGCCTCAATCCAAAGCTTTAGAAAATTGTTTCTGTATACTGAGTATGTTTTCCAAACCAAAGCTACCTTAATGGCTATTAGGGGATGATGTTTCTTTTCTATGCCTCATTGTTATCCTCATTATTACAAAGTAATCACATAATGGAAATGAGAAAGAAAAAAAAACCACCAAATATTTGAATTTAAGGTATTTCCCAATTATGTTAGCCATCATCCATAGTTTCTCCACTTTACATCAGACTCCATATTATCAGATTCCATACTTACAGAATCCACAAGATTTTCTGTTTTGTCAATCAATAATTCCAATCTTTCTCCTCGCTGAGCTACCAGATCTGAAAATATTGGAAAAGTAGAAAAGGTCAAGTTTTCCATTGTAGAATAAAATAAACTTTTTTTAAAAAAGTAATATAACTTAATGAATACACTGTCCTGGGGCCAAAGGACAGGCATGCTTCACCCACTGGTGACACCACTCGAAAACAAGGACTAGCCCACCTGAAATCCCCATGCCCATCAAAACTTCACCACAGCCTCCATAACAACTACACCCTAAGCCACTAAGAAAAATACAGACATGGTTGATGATGCTGTTTATAGCTGAAGAAATTATACAGACTACACTACTGAATGTACCCATAATCAAAGTCTAAGTGCCCTGCCCAACCAACACCATAGATATATCCTCAAGAAAAAGTCCTTGCATATTAAAGCAAATCTAAAAATTGGAAGAAGTGACCATAGAAATACTATTAACAACTATATGCTAATAAACTTGAAAACCCAGAAGAAATGGATAAATCCCAGGACACATGCAACCTACCAAGACTGAATCAGAAAGAAATAGAAAACCTGAACAAGCCAGTAATGAGTAATGGGATTGAATCAGTAATAAAGTATAATCAGTAATAAAGTCTCCCAACAAAACCAAAACAATGCCCAGAATCAGCTGGCTTCACTGGAGAACTCCATGAAACTTACAGAGAAGAACTAATATCACTTCTCAAACTATGCCAAAAAATTCAAGAGGAGGGAATTCTCCCTACTCATTCTATAAGGCCAGCATTACCCTGATACCAAAACCTGATAAGGACTCAACAAAAAAACAAAACTGCAGGCCAACAACCCTGATGATCACAGATGCAAAAATCCTCAACGAAATACTAGCAAACCAAATCAAACATCACATCAAAAAGATAATACACCATGATCAAGTGGGATTTATCCCAGGGATGCAATGATGATTCAATGCATGCAAATCAATAAACATGAAACATTCCATCAATAGAATAGAGAATAAAAGCCACATGATCACCTTAATAGATGCAGAGAAAGCATCTGATAAAAAAAGCATTTGATAAAATTCAACATCTCAGGGTGGTTGGCAAGATGACCGAATAGGAACAGCTCTGGTCTGCAGCTCCCAGTGAAATCAATGCAGAAGGTGGGTAATTTCTGCATTTCCAACTGAGGTACCCGGCTCATCTCATTGGGACTGGTTAGACAGTGGGTGCAGCCCACGGAGGGTGAGCCGAAGCAGGGTGGGGCGTTGCCTCATCCAGGAAGCACAAGGGGTCGGGGAACTCCCTCCCCTAACCAAGGGAAGCCTTGAGGGACCGTGCCGTGAGGAATGGTGCACTCTGGCCCAGATACTATGCTTTTCCCACAGTCTTCGCAATCTGCAGACCAGGAGATTCCCTTGGGTGCCTATGCCACCAGGGACCTGGGTTTCAAGCACAAAACTGGGCGGCCATTTGGGCAGACACCGAGCTAGCTGCAGGAGTTTTTTTTTCATACCCCAGTGGCGCCTGGAATGCCAGTGAGACATAACTGTTCACTCGCCTGGAAAGGGGCTGAAGCCAGGGAGGCAAGTGGTCTAGCTCAGTATATTCCACCCCCACGGAGCCCAGCAGGCTAAGATCCACTGGCTTGAAATTCTCATTGCCAGCACAACAGTCTGAAGTCGACCTGGGACACTCGAGCTTGGTGGAGGGAGGGGCGTCTGCCATTACTGAGGCTTGAGTAGGCAGTTTTCCCCTCACTGTGTAAACAGAGTGGCCAGGAAGTTTGAACCGGGGAGAGCCCACCGCAGCTCCGCAAAGTCCCTGTAGCCAGACTGCCTCTCTAGATTCCTCCTCTCTGGGCAGCGCATCTCTGAAAGAAAGGCAGCAGCCCCAGCCAGAGGCTTATAGATAAAACTCCCATCTCCTTGGGACCGAGCACCTGGGGGAAGGGGTGGCTGTGGACTCAGTTTCAGCAGACTTAAACGTTCCTGCCTGCCAGTTCGGAAGAGAGCAGCGGCAATCCCAGCACAGTGCTCAAGCTCTGCTAAAGTATAGACTGCCTCCTCAAGTGGGTCCCTGAGCTCCATGCCTCCTGACTGGAAGATACCTCCCAGCAGGAGTCGACAGACATCTCATACAGGAGAGCTCTGGCTGGCATCTGGCAGGTGCCCCTCTGGGACGAAGCTTCCAGAGGAAGGAACAGGCAGCAATCTTTGCTGTTCTGCAGCCTCCGCTGGTGATACCCAGGCAAACTGGGTCTGGAGTGGACCTCCAACAAACTCCAGCAGACCTGCAGCAGAGAGGCCTGTTAGAAGGAAAACTAACAAACAGAAAGGAATAGCATCAACATCAACAAAAAGGATGTCCACATAGAAACCCCATCCAAAGGTCACCAACATCAAAGACCAAAGGTAGATAAATCCATGAAGATGAGGAAAAACCAGTGCAAAAAGGCTGAAAATTCCAAGAGAACAAACTGGACGGAGAATGAGTTTGACAAATTGACAGAAGCAGGCTTCAGAAGGTGGATAATAACAAACTCCTCCAAGCTAAAGGAGAATGTTCTAACCCCATGCAAGGAAACTAAGGACCTTGAAAAAAGGTTAGAGGAATTGCTAACTAGAATAGCCAGTTTAGAGAAGAACATAAATGACCTGATGGGACTGAAAAACACGGCACGAGAACTTTGTGAAGCATACAAAAGTATCAATAGCCGAACTGATCAGGTGGAAGAAAGGATATCAGAGATTGTAGATCAACTTAATGAAATAAAGTGTGAAGACAAGATTAGAGAAAAAATAATGAAAAGGAATGAACAAAGGCTCCAAGACATATGGGACTATATGAAAAGACCAAACCTATGTTTGATTGGTGTGCTTGAAAGTGACAGGGAGAACAGAACCAAGTTGGAAAACATTCTTTAGGATATTAACCAGGAGAACTTCCCCAACCTAGCAAGATAGGTCAACATTCAAATTTGGGAAATACAGAGAACACCACAAAGATACTCCTCGAGAAGAGCAACTCCAAGACACATAATCGTCAGATTCACCAAGGATGAAATGCAGGAAAAAATGTTAAGGGCAGCCAGAGAGAAAGGTCAGGCTACCCACAAAGGGAAGCCCATCAGACTAACAGCAGATCTCTCGACAGAAACCCTACAAGCCAGAAGAGACTGGGGGCGAATATTCAACATTCTTAAAGAAAAGAATTTTCAACCCAGAATTTCATATCCAACCAAACTAAGCTTTATAAGTGAAGGAGAAATAAAATCCTTTACAGACATGCAAATGCTGAGAGATTTTGTCACCACCAGGCCTGCCTTACAAGAGGTCCTGAAGGAAGCACTAAATATGGAAAGGAAAAACCAGTACCAGCCACTGCAAAAACATATCAAACTGTAAAGACCATCAACACTATGAAGAAACTATATCGACTAACAAGCAAAATAACCAACTAGCATTATAATCACAGGATCAAATTCACACATAACAATATTAACCTTAAATGTAAATGGGGTAAATGCCCCAAATAAAAGACACAGACTGGCAAATTGAATAAAGAATCAAGACCCACCCATGTGCTGCATTCAGGAGACCCATCTCATGTGCAAAGACACACACAGGCTCAAAATAAAGGGATAGAGGATTATTTACTAAGCAAATGGAAAGCAAAAAAAAGCAGTGGCTGCAATCCTAGTCTCTGATAAAACAGACTTTAAACCAACAAAGATCAAAAAAGACAAAAAAGGGCATTACATAATGGTAAAGGGATCAATGCAACAAGAAGAGCTAACTATCCTAAATATATATGCACCCAATACAGGAGCACCCAGATTCATAAAGCAAGTTCTTACAGACCTACAAAGAGACTCAGACTCCCACACAATAATAGTAGGAGACTTTAACACCCACTGTCAATATTAGATTGAGACAGAATATTAACAAGGATATTCAGGACTTGAACTCAGCTCTGGACCAAGAGGACCTAATAGACATCTACAGTACTCTCCAAGCCAAATCAACAGAATATACATTCTTCTCAGCACCACATTGCACTTATTCTAAAGTTGATCACATAATTGGAAGTAAAACACTCCTCAGCAAATGCAAAAAATGGAAATCGTAACCAACAGTCTCTCAGACCACAGTGCCATCAAATTAGAACTCAGGATTAAGAAACTCACTCAAAACTGCACAACTACATGGAAAATGAACAACCTGTTCCTGAATGACTACTGGGTAAATAACAAAATTAAGGCAGAAATAAATAAGTTTTTTGAAACCAATGAGAATAAAGACACAACGTACCAGAATCTCTGGGACACAGCTAAAGCAGTATTTAGAGGGAAATTTATAGCACTAAATGCCCACAGCAAAAAGTGGGAAAGATTTAAAGTCAACACCCTAACATCACAATTAAAAGAACTAGAGAAGCAAGAGCAAACAAATTCAAAGGTAGCAGAAGACAAGAAATAACTAAGATCAGAGCAGAACTGAAGGAGAAAGAGACATGAAAAACCCTTCAAAAAGAATCAATGAATCCAGGAGCTGGTTTTTTGAAAAGATTAACAAAATTGATAGACTGCTAGCGAGACTAATAAAGGAGAAAAGAGAGAAGAATCAAATAGAAACAATAAAAAATGATAAAGGGGGTATCACCACTGATCCCACAGAAATACAAACTACCATCAGAGAATACTATAAACACCTCTATGCAAGTAAACTAGAAAATCTGGAAGAAATGGATAAATTCCTGGACACATACACCCTCCCAAGACTGAACCAGGAAGAAGTCAAATCCCTGAATACAACAATAACAAGTTCTGAACTTGAGGCAGTAATTAATAGCCTACCAAACAAAAAAGGTCCAGGACCAGAAGGATTCACAGCTGAATTCCACCAGAGGTATAAAGAGGAGCTGGTACCATTCCTTCTGAAACTATTCCAAACAACAGAAGAAGAGGGACTCCTCCCTAACTCATTTTATGAGGCCAGCATCATCCTGATACCAAAGCCTGGCAGAGACACAACCAAAAAGGAAAATTTCAGGCCAATATCCCTGATGAACACTGATGCGAAAATCCTCAATAAAATACTGGCAAATCGAACCCATCAGCACATCAAAAAGCTTATCCACCACGATCAGGTCAGCTTCATCACTGGGATGCAAGACTGGTTCAACATACGCAAATCAATAAACGTAATCCATCACAGAAAAAGAACCAATGACAAAAACCACATGATTATCTCAATAGATGCAGAAAAGGCCTTCGATAAAATTCAACACCGCTTTATGCTAAAAACTCTCAATAAACTAGGTATTGATGGAATGCATCTCAAAATAATAAGAACTATTTATGACAAACCCACATCCAATATCATACTGAATGGGCAAAAGCTGGAAGTATTCCCTTTGAAAACCAGCACAAGACAAGGATGCCCTCCCTCACCACTCCTATTCAACATAGTATTGGAAGTTCTGTCCAGGGCAATCAGGCAAGAGAAAGAAATAAAGGGTATTCAAATAGGAAGAGAGGAAGTCAAATTGTCTCTCTTTGCAGATGACATGATTGTATATTTAGAAAACCCCATTGTCTCAGCCCAAAATCTCCTTAAGCTGATAAGCAACTTCAGCAAAGTATCAGAATGCAAAATCAATGTGCAAAAATCACAAGCATTCCTATACACCAATAAAAGACAAACAGAGAGCCAAATCATGAGTGAACTCCCATTCACAATTGCTACAAAGAGAATAAAATACCTAGAAATACAACTTACAGGGGATGTGAAGGACCTCTTCAAGGAGAATGACAAACCACTGCTCAAGGAAATAAGAGAGGACACAAATGAATGGAAAAACATTCCATGCTCATGGATAGGAAGAATATGGCCAAACTGCCCAAAGTAATTTATAGATTCAATGCTATCCCCATCCAGCTACCATTGACTTTCTTCACAGAATTAGAAAAACACTACTTTAAATTTCATTTGGAACCAAAAAAGAGCCCACATAGCCAAGACAATCCTAAGCAAGAAGAACAAAGCTGGAGACATCACGCTACCTGACTTCAAATTATACTACAAGGCTACAGTAACCAAAACAGCATGGTATTGGTACCAAAACAGATACATAGACCAATGGAACAGAACAGAGGCCTCAGAAATAACGCTACACATCTACAACCATCTGATCTTTGACAAACCTGACAAAAACAAGCAATGGGGAAAGGATTCCCTATTTAATAAATGGTGTTGGGAAAACTGGCTAGCCATATTCAGAAAACTGAAACTGGCCCCCTTCCTTACACCTTATACAAAAATTAACTCAAGATGGATTAAAGACTTAAACATAAGACTTAAAACCATAAAATCCCTAGAAGAAAACCTGGGCAATACCATTCAGGACATAGGTATGGGCAAAGATTTCATGACTAAAACACCAAAAGCAATGGCAACAAAAGCCAAAATTGACAAATGGGATCTAATTAAAGCAAAGAGCTTCTGCACAGCAAAAGAAACTATCATCAGAGTGAACAGGCAACCTACAGAATGGGAAAAAATTTTTGCAATCTATCCATCTGACAAAGGGCTAATATCCGGAATCTACAAGGAACTTAAACAAATTTACAAGAAAAAAACAACCCCATCAAAAAGTGTGTGAAGGATATGAAAAGACACTTCTCAAAAGAAGACATTTATGTGGCCAATAAACATATGAAAAAAAAGCTCATCATCACGGGTCATTAGAGAAATGCAAATCAAAACCATAATGAGATATCCTCTCACACCAGTAAGAATGGCGACCATTAAATGGCAATCATTAACAAGTCAGGAAAGAACAGATGCTGGAGAGGATGTGGAGCAATAGGAATGCTTTTACACTGTTGGTGGAAGTGTAAATTAGTTCAACCATTGTCAAAGACAGTGTGGCGATTCCTCAAGGATCTAGAACCAGAAATACCATTTGACCCAGCAATCCCATTATTGGGTATATACCCAAAGGATTATAAATCATTTTACTATAAAGACACATGCACACGTATGTTTATTGCAGCACTGTTCACAATAGCAAAGACTTGGAACCAACCCAAATGCCCAACAATGATAGACTGGATAAAGAAAATGTGGCACATATACACGATGGAATACTATGCAGCCATAAAAAAGGAGGAGTTCATGTCCTTTGCAGGGACATGGATGAAGCTGGAAACCATCATTCTCAGCAAGGTAAGAAAGGAACAGAAAACCAAACACCACGTGTTCTCACTCATAAGTGGGAGTTGAACAATGAGAACACATGGACACAGGGAGGGGAACATCACACACTGGGGCCTGTTGGGGGTAGGGGGGCTAGGGGAGAAATAGCATTAGGAGAAATACCTAATGTAGATGATGGGTTAATGGGTGCAGCAAACCACCATGGCATGTGTATACCTATGTAACAAAGCTGCACATTCTGCACATGTATCCCAGAATTTAAAGTATAATAATAAAAAAAGAGCAAATGTGTAACATAGAAATTGCAATGGGTCAGGTTGAAATATTTCCATTTTCATCCATAATTTTAGCAGTATGATGACATAGCTCAAAAGGAAAATAGGATATTCTACTTTTATATATTCAAATAAAAATATATAGTTCAAGGTATCAAAAAAAATTCAACATCTCTTCATGATAAAAACTCTCAAAAAACTAGGCATAGAAGGAATATCCCTCAACATGATAAAGGCCATTTATGACAAACCCACAGCTAACATCATACGGAATGGGAAAAACGAAAAGCCTTTCCTCTAAGAAATGGAAAACTCTCACCACTCCTATTCAACATAGTACTGGAAGGAAGCCCAGTTTCACTACTCCTATTCAACACAATACTGGAAGTCCTAGCCAGAGCAATCAGGCAAGAGAAAGAAATAAAGGGCATCCAAATTGAAAAAGAGGATGTCAAATTATCCCTCTTTGCAGATGATATGATCTTATGTCTAAAAGACCCAAAGACTCCACCAAAAAACTCCTAGATCTGATAAATATATTCAGTAAAGTTGCAGGATACAGAATCAACATACAAATATCTGTAATGTTTCTATGCATCAATAATCAACTTGGTGAAATAAAACTTTATGAAATCAAGAAGGTAATCCCATTTATAATAGTTATGAACATATAAAATATTGAAGAATAAATTTAACGAGTAGGTGAAAGACTCCTACAAGTAAAACTACAAAACACTGATGAAAAAAACTGAAGATGACACAAAGATACAGAAAGACATCTTATGGTCATGGATCATAAGAATGTATATTATTAAAATGACCATAAGCCCAAAGCAATCTACAGATTCAATGCAATCTCTATCGAAGTACCAATGTCATTTTTCACAGAAACAGAAAAAACAATCCTAAAATTAGTATTTCAGGAACCAAAAAAGAGTCCAAATAGCCAAAGCAATCCTGAGCAAAATGAACAAAGCTGGAGGCATCACACTACCTGACTTCAAAACATATTACAAGGCTACAGTAACCAAAACAGCATGGTTTGGTATAAAAACAGACACAAGGTCGATGGAATAGAATAGAAAAGCCAGACATTGATCCACGTATGTACAGCCACACATATATAGGCAACTGATTTTCAACAAAGGTGCCAAGGACGTACACTGGGGAAAGGACACTTTCTTCAATAAATGGTATTGGGAAAACTGGATATCCATATGTGGAAGAATTAAACTGGACCTCTGTCTCTCATCACATACAAAAATCAACCAAGATAGATTAAAGACTTAAATTTCAGACCCAGAACTATAAACCTACTAGAAGAAAACATAGGGGAAACACTTCAGAACACTGCTCTAGGAAAAGATTTTATGGCTAACACCTCAAAAGGACAGGTAACGAAAAGAAAAATAGACAAATAGGACTATATTAAACAAAAAAGCTTTTGCACAGCAAAGGAAATAATCAAGAGTGAAGAGACAACCAGTTGAATGGGAGAAAATAGTTGCAAACTATTCATTTGATAAGGGAATAATATCCAGAATATATAATGAACTCAACAGGAGATATACAAATAATCCCCTTAAAAAGTGGGCAGAGGACATGAATAGCCATTTCTCAAAAGAAGACATACAAATGGCCAAAAGGTATATGAAAAAATGCTCAACATCATAGAAATGCAAATAAAAGCCAAAATGAGATATCATGTTACCCCAGTTAGAATGGTTACTAAAAAGATACAAAATAACAGATGCTGGCTAGTATAAGGAAAAAAAAAAAAAACACTTACACACTGTTGGTGGGAAAGTAAACTAGTGCAGCTACTATGGAAACCAGTGTGGAGATTTCCCCAAAAACTAAAAATTAAACTACCATATGATCCAGCAATCCTACTACTGGGTATTTATGCAAAGGAAAAGAAATCAGTGTATAGACGGGATATCTGCACTTGCATATTTATTGCATCCCTATTCACAATAGCAAAGATATGGAGTCAACCTAAGTGTCCATGAATGGATGAATGGATAAAGAAAATGTGGTTTATAAACACAATGGAATACTATTTGACCATGAAATAGAATGAAGTCATGCCATTTACAGCAACATGGATGTAACTGGAGGTTATTATGTTAAGTGATATAAGGCAGGCATGGAAAGACAAATATCACATGTTCTTACTCACATGTGGGAACTAAAACAGTTGATCTCATGGAGGTAGACAATAGCACAATAGATACCAGAGGCTAGGAAGGGTGTGGGTATGTGGGGCCGAGCAGGGAATATGAGAGGATGGTTAATAGGTACAAACACACAGTTGGATAGAAGGAATAAGTTCTAATGTTTGATAGCAGAGTAGGGTGACTAAAGTTAACAATAGTGTATTATATATTTCAAAATAGCTAGAAGAGAGAATTTGAAATGTTCCCATCACACAGAAATAAATTCTTGAGCTGATGGACACCCCATATATCCTGACTTGATCATTACACAGTCTTTGCATGTAACAAAATATCACACGTACCCCATAAATGTGTACAAATATTATGTATCAATTAAATAAAAGACACTAGACAGCTAGCTCTCTTTTCCTTGCCTGATGGGAGAACAGAGAGAGAAGATGCTGTCTGCAAGCCAGGAAGAGAGCCCTTACCAGAACCTGACCATACTGGCACCGTGATCTTGGACTTCTAGCCTCCAGAAATGTGAGAAAATAAATTTCTGTTGTTTAAGTCACTACGTCTATGGAATTTTGTTATGGCAGCCTGAGCTAAGACAAATGATCTCAAATTAACAACCTAACAACTTAACTTTCTACCTTATGGATCTAGAAAAGAAGGGTAAACTAAATCTAAAGCTAGCAGTGGGAAGGAAATAAATATTAGGGTGAACAAATTAAATAGAGAACAGAAAAACTATAGAAAAAAAATCTATGAAACCAGAAGTTGGTTCTTTAGAAAGATCAATAAAATTGACAAACCTTTACGTAGAATGACCAAGTAAAACAGAAAAAACTTACATTACTAAAATCAGAAATGAAAGAGGAGACATCACCACCAAACTTACAAAATGAAGAGGATCTTAGGGGAATTCTATAAACAGGAGTGTGTAAATAAATTAGGTAACTTAGATGAAATGCACAAATTCCTAGAAAGATACAAACTGCTAAACAGACTCAAGAAGAAATAAAAAATCTGAATAGCTACAGCAAGCATAGAGACTAAATCAGTAATTTTAAAACTTCAGGCCGGGCATGGAGGCTCATGCCTGTAATCCTAGCACTTTGGTAGGCTGAGGCAAGTGGATCGCTTGAGCCCAGGAGTTTGAGACTAGCCTGGGCAACATGGCAAGACCTTGTCTCTACAAAAAAACCAAAAAACAAAAATTAGCCAGGTGTGGTGGCACATGCCTGCAGTCCCAGCTGCTTGGGAGGCTGAGGTGGGAAGATTACCTGAGCCCAGGAGGTCAAGGCTGCAGGTAACCCTCCCACCAAGGGAATGAAAGAGGAATTAGAGAGGATCATGTCACTGCACTCCAGCCTGGGTGACAGACAGACCCCATCTCAAAAAACAAAAACAAAAACAAAAAAGCTTCACACAAAGAAAAGCCCAAGCCCAGGTGGCTTCAAAGGTGAATTCTACCAAACATTTCAAGAATTAATACAAAACTTTCACAAATCTTTCCAAAATAGAAGAAAAGGGGAACACTTCTTGACTCATTCTATGAGCCCAGCATTACCCTGGTATCAAAACCAAAGACATCACAAGAAAAGAAAATGGCTCTCCCTCTCCCTCTCCCCCTCCCCCTCTCACTCTCCCCACGGTCTCCCTCTCCCTCTCTTTCCACGGTCTCCCTCTGATGCCCAGCCGAAGCTGGACTGTACTACTGCTATCTCGGCTCACTGCAACCTCCCTGCCTGATTCTCCTGCCTCAGCCTGCCGAGTGCTGCCACGCCTGACTGGTTTTCGTATTTTTTTGGTGGAGACGGGGTTTCGCTGTGTTGGCCGGGCTGGTCTCCAGCTGCTAACCGCGAGTGATCCGCCAGCCTCGGCCTCCCGAGGTGCCGGGATTGCAGACGGAGTCTCGTTCACTCAGTGCTCAATGGTGCCCAGGCTGGAGTGCAGTGGCGCGATCTCGGCTCGCTGCAACCTCCACCTCCCAGCCGCCTGCCTTGGCCTCCCAAAGTGCCGAGATTGCAGCCTCTGCCCAGCCGCCACCCCGTCTGGGAAGTGAGGAGCGTCTCTGCCTGGGCACCCATCGTCTGGGATGTGAGGAGCCCCTCTGCCTGGCTGCCCAGTCTGGAAAGTGAGGAGCGTCTCTGCCCGGCCGCCATCCCATCTAGGAAGTGAGGAGCGTCTCTGCCCAGCCGCCATCCCATCTAGGAAGTGAGGAGCGTCTCTGCCCGGCCGCCCATCGTCTGAGATGTGGGGAGCGCCTCTGCCCCGCCGCCCCTTCTGGGAGGTGAGGAGCGTCGCTGCCCGGCCGCCCTGTCTGAGAAGTGAGGAGACCCTCCACCCGGCAGCCGCCCCGTCTGCGAAGTGAGGAGCCCCTCCGCCCAGCAGCCGCCCCGTCTGGGAGGTGTACCCAATAGCTCATTGAGAACGGGCCATGATGACAATGGCGGTTTTGTGGAATAGAAAAGGGGGAAAGGTGGGGAAAAGATTGAGAAATCGGATGGTTGCTGTGTCTGTGAAGAAAGAAGTAGACATGGGAGACTTTTCATTTTGTTCTGTACTAAGAAAAATTCTTCTGCCTTGGGATCCTGTTGATCTATGACCTTACCCCCAACCCTGTGCTCTCTGAAACATGTGCTGTGTCCACTCAGGGTTAAATGGATTAAGGGCGGTGCAAGATGTGCTTTGTTAAACAGATGCTTGAAGGCAGCATGCTCGTTAAGAGTCATCACCACTCCCTAATCTCAAGTACCCAGGGACACAAACACTGTGGAAGGCCGCAGGGTCCTCTGCCTAGGAAAACCAGAGACCTTTGTTCACTTGTTTATCTGCTGATCTTCCCTCCACTATTGTCCCATGACCCTGCCAAATCCCCGTCTGTGAGAAACACCCAAGAATGATCAATAAAAAAAAATAATAAAATAAATAAATAAATAAAAGAAAATGATATACCAACAACTCTTAAAAATACAGACATTTAACAAATCCTCAACAGACTACTGGCAGGATGAATCCAATAATATGCAAAAAGGACTATACACCATGATGCAGTGGGATTCATTTCAGAAACACAAGGTTGATTTAATATCTGAAAATCAATTGTTATAATACATCATATTAATAAAGAACAAAAACCATCATTTCAATAGATGTAAAAAAAATTGACAAAATCCAACACTGTTTAATGATAAAACCACTCAACAAATAAGAAAAAGAAACTTCCTCAACCTGATAAAGGACATCTATGAAAAACCCACAGCTAACCTCATACTTAATTGTGGAAGATTCTTCAAGATCTCCCTAAGAGCAGGAATAAGACAATGATGTCCACTCTTACCACTTCTATTCAACATTATACTGGAGGTTCTAGCTAGGGCAAATAAGCAATAAAAAGAAATGAAAAGCATCCAGACTGAAAAGGAAGAATTAAAACTATCTCTATTTGCAAGTAGCATGATTCTATATAGAGAAAATCCTAAGGAAACTATTAAAAAGCTATTAGAACTAATAAAGGAGAACAAGGTTGTATGATACAACACCAATTTATAAAAATCAATAAAATTTCTATACATTAGTACTGAACAATCCGAAAATGAAAGAGAAAAATTCCATTTACAATAGCATAAAAAAATACTTAGGAACAAGGCAAGAAGGATGTTAGAAGAGATATTGTTAAAGAAAAATTATTCTGACACTGGTTAAAAAATGGTAAGGCAGATTTTGAGATTACTGCAATAGGGGTCAAGGCTATCACAATGGAGGGGAGAGATTGAGCTCAACTCCTAACACAACCAAGACCAGTGGGGATTTGTGGCCAATGAACAGAGTGAGGGGGTCAGAGGATGGAAAATTACTAAGAGGAGGCATCAAGGGCAAGGGGATTCTCTCTAAACTGGCCTAACAGGATTCCTGCTAAAAGCTGGCCGGACTTATATAACAAATATAGGGGACAAGGAACTTGATCAAGGGTGGGGTATTAGCAGGATTCTTTGCTAAGACTTCCTTAGGCAGGCCAAGGACAGAGCCCGAGGATGAGACCTAGTTTAACAGAGTGCTCAGAGGAGCTTGTCTAAAATTTGGTGAAGCAGAGTCTTTGTCATGTAAGACTTGCACACTGAAAACTACAAAACATTGTTGGAAAAAATTAAAGAAACCTAAATGAATAGAAAGAAAGCCCATGTTCATGGATCAGAAGTTTAATATTGTTAAAATGGCTCCCTAATTGATCTACAGATTCAACACAATCCCTATCAAAATCCCAGATAGCTTTTTTTGCTATCTGAAATTGACAAGCTCATCCTAAAGTTCATGAAAATGAAAGGTACCCAGAATAGTCAAAGCAATTTTGAGAAAGAATAAAGTTGGAAGATGAATATTTCCTGATTTTAAAACCTACTACAAAGCTATAATAATCATGACAGCCTGGTACTGGCATAAAGATAAACTGAACAGAACTGAAGGTCCAGAAACAAAGCTATACATCCATTGATAACTAATTTTTGATAAGAATGCTAAGATCATTCAACAGGGAAAGAAAAGCCTTTTCAGCAAATGGTTCTGGAACAACTGTATATACATATTCAACAGAATTAAGTTGGATCTCTTCTTTATTCCATACATAAACATTAACTCAAAATAGATCATAGATAGAAATGTAAGAGCTAAAACTAGTCTTAGAAGAAAACAAAGTAGTAAATCTTCATGATCTTGGCTTAGGCGACAGTTTCTTAGATATGTTATTCAAAGCACAAACTAAAGAAAAAAATAAATTGGACTTCATAAAAACTGTTGTGCTTCAAAGAACACCATCAAGAAAATGAAAAGACAACTCACAGAATAGAGCAAAATATTTGAAAATCATGTATCTGATAAGGGTCTAGTATCCAGAATATATAAAGTACTGTTATAGCTCAACCATAAAAAGACAAATAACCCACTTAAAAACAATAAAGTATTTTTAAATAGACATTTCTCCAAAGGTAAAGAAAATATACGAATGGCCTATAAGCACATGAAAAAATGCTCAACATCATTAGTCATCAGGGAAATGCAAATCAAAATCACAATAAAGTACCATTTCACTAGACTGGGTATAATCAAAAAAGATAAGTTTTGGCAAGGATGTGGAGGAATCAGAATCCTCATACATTGCTATTAGGAATGTATAAAGGTGCAGTCACTTTAGGAAAGTTTGGCCCTTCTTCAAAATGTTACAAAGTTGCCATGTGATCCAGCAATTCTATTCCTAGGTATGTAAGCAAGAGAACCAAAAACATATATATATATATATAATATATAATATATATATATGCTCACACAAAAACTTGTACACAAATGTTCATAGCAGCATTATTTATAATAACCAGACCATGAACTAATGAGTAGATACATAAAATGCATTAATGCATTGGAATTATTAGTCATAAAAAAGAATTAAGTATTGATTTATGCTACGACATGAATGAATCTCACAATCATTACGCTAAGTGAACGAAGACACAAAAGGCCACATATTACAAGATTCCATTTATACGAAATGTCCAGAATAGGCAAATTTATGAAGAAGAAAAGGGAATTAATTGTTGCTTAGGTCTGAGAGTTGAGGAGCAACTGCAAATGAGTACAGGGCTTCATTTAGGGATGATAAAAATGTTACAAAATTGATCGCAGCAATGGTTGTACAATTCTGTGAATATAGTAACCACTGACTGTATACTTTAAATGGGTGAATTATATGATATGTGAATTATATTTCAATTAAGCTGTTAAAAAAATGAAAGGGAATTAACTAGGAATGTTCTTGTCACATTTTAAATTTGCTTTTTTTATTTTATTTTATTATTATTATACTTTAAGTTTTAGGGTACATGTGCACAATGTGCAGGTTTGTTACATATGTATACATGTGCCATGCTGGTGTGCTGCACCCATTAACTCGTCATTTAGCATTAGGTATATCTCCTAAAGCTATCCTTCCCCCTCCCCCCACCCCACAACAGTCCCCAGAGTGTGATGTTCCCCTTCCTGTGTCCATGTGTTCTCATTGTTCAATTCTCACCTATGAGTGAGAACATGCGGTGTTTGGTTTTTTGTTCTTGCGATAGTTTACTGAGAATGAGGATTTCCAATTTCATCCATGTCCCTACAAAGGACATGAACTCATCATTTTTTATGGCTGCATAGTATTCCATGGTGTATATGTGCCACATTTTCTTAATCCAGTCTATCATTGTTGGACATTTGGGTTGGTTCCAAGTCTTTGCTATTGTGAATACTGCCGCTATAAACATACGTGTGCATGTGTCTTTATAGCGGCATGATTTATAGTCCTTGGGTATATACCCAGTAATGGGATGGCTGGGTCAAATGGTATTTCTAGTTCTAGATCCCTGAGGAATCGCCACACTGACTTCCACAAGGGTTGAACTAGTTTACAGTCCGACCAACTGTGTAAAAGTGTTCCTATTTCTCCACATCCTCTCCAGTAACTGTTGTTTCCTGACTTTTTAATGACTGCCATTCTAACTGGTGTGAGATGGTATCACATTGTGGTTTTGATTTGCATTTCTCTGATGGCCAGTGATGGTGAGCATTTTTTCATGTGTTTTTTGGCTGCATAAATGTCTTCTTTTGAGAAGTGTCTGTTCATGTCCTTCGCCCACTTTTTGATGGGGTTGTTTGTTTTTTTCTTGTAAATTTGTTTGAGTTCATTGTAGATTCTGGATATTAGCTCTTTGTCAGATGAGTAGGTTGTGAAAATTTTCTCCTATTTTGTAGGTTGTCTGTTCACTCTGATAGTAGTTTCTTTTGCTGTGCAGAAGCTCTTTAGTTTAATTAGATCGCATTTGTCAATTTTGGCTTTTGTTGCCATTGCTTTTGGTGTTTTAGACATGAAGTCCTTGCCCATGCCTATGTCCTGAATGGTAATGCCTAGGTTTTCTTCTACGGTTTTTATGGTTTTAGGTCTAAATGATAAAGGGGATATCACCACCGATCCCACAGAAATACAAACTACAATCAGAGAATACTACAAACACCTCTACGCAAATAAACTAGAAAATCTAGAAGAAATGGATAAATTCCTCGACACATACACCCTCCCAAGACTAAACCAGGAAGAAGTTGAATCTCTGAATAGACCAATAACAGGCTCTGAAATTGTGGCAATAATCAATAGCTTACCAACCGAAAAGAGTCCAGGACCAGATGGATTCACAGCAGAATTCTACCAGAGGTACAAGGAGGAACTGGTACCATTCCTTCTGAAACTATTCCAATCAATAGAAAAAGAGGGAGTCCTCCCTAACTCATTTTATGAAGCCAGCATCATCCTGATACCAAAGCCGGGCAGAGACACAACCAAAAAAGAGAATTTTAGACCAATATCCTTGATGAACATTGATGCAAAAATCCTCAATAAAATACTGGCAAACCGAATCCAGCAGCACATCAAAAAGCTTATCCACCATGATCAAGTGGGCTTCATCCCTGGGATGCAAGGCTGGTTCAGTATACGCAAATCAATAAATGTAATCCAGCATATAAACGGAACCAAAGACAAAAACCACATGATTATCTCAATAGATGCAGAAAAGGCCTTTGACAAAATTCAACAACCCTTCATGCTAAAAACTCTCAATAAATTAGGTATTGATGGGATGTATCTCAAAATAATAAGAGCTATCTATGACAAACCCACAGCCAATATCATACTGAATGGGCAAAAACTGGAAGCATTCCCTTTGAAAACTGGCACAAGACAGGGATGCCCTCTCTCACCACTCCTATTCAACATAGTGTTGGAAGTTCTGGCCAGGGCAATCAGGCAGGAGAAGGAAATAAAGGGTATTCAATTAGGAAAAGAGGAAGTCAAATTGTCCCTATTTGCAGATGACATGATTGTATATCTAGAAAACCCCATTGTCTCAGCCCAAAATCCCCTTAAGCTGATAAGCAACTTCAGCAAAGTCTCAGGATACAAAATCAATGTACAAAAATCACAAGCATTCTTATACACCAATAACGGACAGAGAGTCAAATCATGAGTGAACTCCCATTCACAGTTGCTTCAAAGAGAATAAAATACCTAGGAATCCAACTTACAAGGGATGTGAAGGACCACTTCAAGGAGAACTACAAACCACTGCTCAGTGAAATAAAAGAGGATACAAAGAAATGGAAGAACATTCCATGTTCATGGGTAGGAAGAATCAATATCATGAAAATGGCCATACTGCCCAAGGTAATTTATAGATTCAATGCCATCCCCATCAAGCTACCAATGACTTTCTTCACAGAATTGGAAGAAACTACTTTAAAGTTCATATGGAACCAAAAAAGAGCCCGCATCACCAAGTCCATCCTATGCCAAAAGAACAAAGCTGGAGGCATCATGCTACCTGACTTCAAACTATACTACAAGGCTATAGTAACCAAAACAGCATGGTACTGGTACCAAAACAGAGATATAGATCAATGGAACAGAACAGAGCCCTCAGAAATAACGCCACATATCTACAACCATCTGATCTTTGACAAACCTAAGAAAAACAAGCAATGGGGAAAGGATTCCCTATTTAATAAATGGTGCTGGGAAAACTGGCTAGCCATATGTAGAAAGCTGAAACTGGATCCCTTCCTTATACCTTATACAAAAATTAATTCAAGATGGATTAAATTTGCTGTTTCTATAACTCTAAAAATAAATAAGTCATTTAAAAGGAGTCGATTAAAAACGTTGATTTTTCTGGAAACTTTATGCATCTGCAATAAATAATATTGTAGCAATTGTCTGCCTCCACTTTCGGGCAAAATAAATACATTTGGTGACAAAAAAAAGAATAAAAATAAATAGTAGTTGTCTCAACAGATTCTCTAGTCTCTATCTAGATATATAATTAAAACTAAAATCAATTAAAGGAAATCACTTTAAATAGCCAAGACGTACATATCAAGAACCACGAAAACGTTTGCGCATTTTGATTATTAATCCCATTCCTGATAATTAATCTCAAGAAAATAAGAAAAACATAATAGGCACAAAAATATAACAGTATGGTTACTACTGTAGGATAAACTTCTAAATCAGTCCTACTTAAGAGTATTTGCAACTGGTTGACTAAGTCTCTAAGCATACTGTTCAGTCCAATTGACATTTTCATAGCAAGAGGGCCTCAGTGAAGGAAGCACAATATTGATTGACATTCTTCAGCAAGCTCCTTATCTGGTTGCAAAACAGCACTCTAACACTGTGCTAAAGAACCTATGCGTCCAAAATTCAGGCAAGGTTAGGTAACCCGTGATACATTAACTCAGTGAAATACTGTACAATCACACTGACCAAATTATTCTAAACTGCTGAATTATCATAAGGTTCTTAGAAATTAGTCTTGTTAAGCAAACTAGTAAATTTAGAATGAAGAATAGTTGCAAGGACAAAGAAGAAACCATTTGCACAAGCAGACAGTATCACAGTTGTCTCAGCTGACAATTAACTTCCAATGGTAAGAATAAGGAAGTGCTATTTTGGCTTCTCTAGAATAATTTGACCCCAGTCAAGTAATCTTTATCATTTTTGCCCACATGCATGAAACTATGCCATGAAACATACCTATGTTTCTGACCATGATTCCTTTCAGTTCATCCACTTGGGCTTGAGTCTCCATCACTTTGTCTAGGCCCTTATTCTCAGAGTGATGCTTCTATAAGAAAATAAGTTTTAACTTATGGTACCTAGACATTATTTACAATAGGAAAACAAAAATAAGGGGAATGACAATTTACACTGAGGAATGCTATAAAATTATGTCTCTATTGATATAAAAGATACATGTCACTTCACTGGAAAAATGTTACAATACCCAGGAAAAAATATGGGCAGCATAAAAAATGCTTCTATACAAACTATAAGTATGTAGTCTAAAAATTACCTTATTTTAAATAAAATAAAAATAAACATTATATCAAATATACATGTGACTTGTGGGGCAGAGATTGGGGGGGATATATAATCTGTGCTCAGACAAGGAAGAAAGGAGAAAAAGAAGACTGTAGTTGGGGCAGTGGGGGAAAGAATGCTGCAAAATTGTTCCCCACTTCTTGAGTATGATGAGGTAGGGGCTGGCCCAGCTTCTCAGAATCTGTTCTTGTATCTGCCAGGATCACAGCATATAAACTATTTTTATTGGCTTCTCACAGGATCTAGAATCTAAGACACTGATAATATATAGTTTGAAATTATTTATCCATAGCTAGCAATTATGGGGTGCTTAATACACAATGTTCCAGTCATTTCATTGTGTTAAGTGCTTCAAACGGGATATTATTTAATCCACCCCAAAACTCTATGAAACGATGCTATTATCTCTATTTACAGACAAAGGAACAGGTAGAGATTTTGTTCAGAAGGTCACACAGATCTAGAGCTAATGACAAATTGGTTAATTTGAAAGTTTTGTTTCTAGCTGACCCTTTACTTTTGACTAAGTACTGGTATTTTTGTTGTGGGTAGTGTTTTACACAGTTTTACACAGATGAACATTTCCTAGTGGGGAGTATGAAACAAACCAACTGCTTGAATAATAAAGGTTTATAAGTAACCAATTTAAAGGGACTTTATTGCCAGAAGAGTATGTGTGTGCGTGTGTGTGTGTGTGCATAAAATTTAGAAATGTAATACTCAGAGTATTAAAACCACAGGAGAAGTGAAAGTATTCCATTACAATACAGCTTTTTTTTAAACTCACAACAAAATCATAGCTAGAGCTTACGTCTTTATACTCAAATAGTTTCATGGATAAAAGGGAAGCATTTCGAAAGGTGTCTGACATCATGAAAACATAAATTAAAACCACAATGAGATACCATTACACATCAACTGGAATGGCAAAACTTAAGACCACATCAAGTACTGGCAAGGACGCAGAGACACTGGAACTGCTGGTGAGAATATAAAATGGTACAACCACTTTGGAAAAAAAAGTGGTGATTTTTTTTTTTCAATTACACATCACCTACCATATGACCCAGCAATTCCATTCCTAGGTATTTATCAGAGAGAAATAAAAACATATGTCCACACAAAGACTTATACATGGAGGTTAACAGCAGCTTTATTCATGATAGCTGAAAACTGGAAGCAACCCAAATATCCAGCAACAGGTGGATGGATAAACAAATTGTGGTATATGCATATACTACTACTTAGCAAAAAGGGGAACAAACTACTGATTTATACAACATGGAAGAATATCAAGAGCCTTACACTGACTGAAACAAGCAAGACACAAAAAAGTACATACTGTATGATTCCATTTACAGAAAGTTTACATACTGTATGATTCTATTTACAGAAAGTTCTATGAAAGACAAAACTAATTTATAGTGATAGAAAACAGATCCGTGGTTGCCTGGGGCAAAGTGTAGGGGAGGGGACCAACTGGTAAGGGATATGAGGGAACTTTTAGGGTGATTAAAATGCTGTCTTAAGTACAGTGGTATTTCACAGGTATATTCACATGTAAAACCTCACTAAGCTGACAATTAGGGATTCATACAGATGAGGAGAGTTTCAAATTATTAATTTGGGTTGTTAGAAAATTAAATTTCCCTCATGGAAGGGTAGAAGGTTTACGTATAGTTTAAAAGATCATTTGGCATGCTGAACACATTTAAGCATCAGATGGGTAGTTCAACTAGATGATCTTTAATGCTCTTCCAATCATGAGACACTGTGACCACTATTAATAGAGATAATAAAGACTATCACTGTTTTCTACCCTAAAATGGCCCCTTTACATTTTTTTTTTAATCAGGGAAGTTTTATTATGTTGGCTTACAGTAACACAATCAGAAAACTATATTGCAGGTCAGGGCCCCCTAGATTCATAGTGTTTGAAGGTAATGAAGAAGATATAAATCAAAATACCTTATCCTGAGAAAGATCTTACCAGCTGTGCAGCTAAGACACTTGAGAACTCGCTATTCATGGCATATGGAAGTGCTGTCTGTGCTCTTGAACCGTAAGTAGTCTGGAACCTCTTCTTTATCTCATTCAGAAAATTAAAGGCTCGGGAACGTTCAAAATCCTGAAAAGAGATCAACACAGAACTCACATTTAGAAAGTAAACAAAGATGATGTGAGTGATTAAGAACAACAATAAAAAACAGCTAACATTTACTGAGCAATGATTATCTGAGGAGGAACTAGCATTGATCCTATCTTAAAGATAAGTAAAGGAAGGCTCTGAAAAAGTAACTAACTTGTCCAAAGGTCCAACAACTAGTAAATGAAAGAGCTGAGAATGAATCCAGATATATCTGGTCATTGACAACTGAAGATAATGATACCTAGGTTATCAACTTCTTGACATCAGGAATTGAATTTTACTTCCTCCATATATTTCATAAGATCTATTAGAAGGCCCAGCACAAGAATATGTTTAATAAATCCCATAATAATCATAGAGTCTTTCACACATACAGATACTACTACTGATATTAACTTCAAATCGAATTTTTTCAATAGTGGTGGTATATTTGAAAAGATCAAGTGACATACTCATGTCTAATCCCAGCCAGCCAAAAAGTATGTGTGTTCTCTGTAAGAATACCTTAGAGGAAAAAAATGAATGTGTGTATGTGTGTTTATGTATACATGTATATGTGTGTATCAAATTATAGCTCAAGAAATATGAGGCTCGACTCTAACTATCCCAGATTTCATTAGTATTTTCCTTCTATTCCAAGCTGTTTCACATCAGTCATTTCACATATAGCTAGATTTTTTCGTACTTTTGGAAAATATTGTGAAGCCAGAGATAAAAATCATTGTGATGATCACTATGGTTGACAGTCATTTCCCTTTCACCCAAGATGCTTAGTCTAAGCCAAGGGTTCTTAAATTGGGGTCAATGGTCCAAATTCAAGGGGCCTTTGAACTTGGATAGAAAAAAAGAAAATCACATCATTATTTTTATCAATCGTTAACTTATATTTCAATTGTGAATATAGGTTGTATATTCATAATCGGGGTAGTATTAAACAGTACCTGTAACTGTCACCAACAGAAATCTTTTTTTGTATACCATCACAGTTACAGATATCTCAAAATACTGTCAACACCCATCACATCAAGACTATTAGTTATTAGACCTATGACTAGATCTTGTTAATGAGTTCATAAAGAAGCATATATATTACTACATCAAGTTTTTAAAATATTTTGAATACTATATATATATATATTTCAATATAATTGGCTTTGTTAGAATTGTGTGTGTTTTATACATTTAAAAGCATTCTGGAAAAGGAAAATTAAAAAAAGAAAACAAAAACATTCTGGGAGTGTCCCACAAGTGACGAGTCTGTGATACAATAAAGATTAGGAACCCTGATCTATGGCAACCATGCCAATTCCAAGTCTCTTTGCCAGTAGGCAGTTTAGAAATGAGCATGCAGCCAATAAGACATGAAAGGAAGTTCACTTTGAAAGCAGGGGGAGGGGAGGGCATGCAGCTGGGAAAAGCTTCCTCATTCCTACAATAAGACACTCAAGAAGACACAGTCCCTCTACTCCGGACATGAATAAATAAGTATGTAGCTCTACGAAACCATAATGGCAACCTGTCTGGGAAGAAGGAGACACGGAGATAAGCAGAGAAGAGAAAGGACCTTAATGACATCATTAAGTTACTGAGAATTTTGGGCTGAGAGCCGACAAACAGTCATACCTAACCAATGTAAACTACAGGTTTATATAGCTGATCATAATGTATTGTAATTTTGTTTTTCCAAAGTTCACATACATTAAAGGATTCATTAACTACTGATAGAAGAAATGATGCTATCTAATTTAACATTCCACGTAAACAATTTTTGAGAGGTTTTGATATCAAAGAATTATAATTATGAACATCAATTCTCACTACAAAATAGAATAAATATAGAAGTTGCAAGAGGCTAAGCTAAAACTCTACCAAAATTGAGTTGATTTGCACATACCCCAGTATCAAGTTTTCTTAACATTTGCTGCTCTATATGACAAATGCAAAATATTAACAATTCCAGCTATGTAAAGTTCGCATCACGTTTGCCCACTATAGGTACAGATCAGCAGTCCCCAACCTTTTTGGCACCAGGGACCGGTTTTGTAGAAGACAATTTTTCCAAGGACTGGGGGAGGGTGAATGGTTTCGGGATTAAACTGTTCCACCTCAGATCATCAGGCATTAGATTCTCCTAAGGAGCATGCAATTTAGATCCCTCGGATGCAGAGTTCACAACAGGGTTCACACTCATATGAGAATCTAATGCTGCTGCTGATCTGACAGGAGGCAGAACTCAGGTGGTAATGCTCATAGGCCACTCACCTCCTGCTATGTGGCCTGGTTCCTAACAAGCCACAGACCTGTACCGGTCTGCAGCCTGGGGGTTGGGGACCCCTGGTATAGATAATTAAGAACTGGCTGTATTAACAGTACACATAGTTAAATAGCAATATGTCTTCAAGTTACTTACATCATCAGTGATACAAAGATATACAATCCTGTCTTGGCAGATGTAATGAAACAAATAACTGTAGAATAAAAGATATAAAACTTACTGTGGTTATAAGCAACATCACTTTTACTTCTATCTTCTATCTATGTATAAGCACGTTCAGTACTGCCAATGTCACCATATTACTTACGGATACAGTCTCTTCTCCCTCTTCCCCTTCCCAATATACCTGTTTCTTTCAAGTCAAACTGATAGAAGTACATAAGAAATAAAAAGATCTCTATTCTAGCTACATAGCACAACAGCATGTGTATTACCCATTAGAACGATAGCTGCAAAAGCATAATTGGACTCTTAAAGCATGAACAAGAGATGACATCTTAGGAGGAGGATGTAATTAAGATTAACCCCCAATAGGCCATATGGTTTTCTTTGCTTTTTCCTAAGTTCTTAAAGCAAACATCTTTTCTACCAAATTCTCAACATTTGAGTATCCACTTTGAGTTAGTTACTGTGCTGGATGCTGAGGATACAAAAAAGCAAAACCACCAAGTCCCAGTCTTCATAGGGATCACAGTGTAAGGAATTACAGTGCAGCATGGCAAACAGGATGACAGGAAAGTTAAAGGCAGTACATGGTGCTCTGGGGACACATTAATAGATGAGGCACGAAATGGAGATTTGCCAAAGGGTAACCAGAAAGACTTCCCAGAACAAGTGATGTCTGATTTAAGACCTGAAGAATAAGTAACAGATGGCAAGGTAAAGAGTGAGCGAAAGGCCAGGCGTGGTGGCTGGCTCATGCCTGTAATCCTAGCACTTTGGGAGGCTGAGGCGGGCAGATCGCTTGAGCTCAGGAGTTCAAGACCAGCCTGGGCAACATGGCAAAACCCCGTCTGTACACAAAATACAAAAATTAGCCAGGTGTGGTGGCACACGCCTATAGTCCCAGCTACTTGGGAGGCTGAGGCAGGAGGATCGCTGGAACCCAGGAGGTTGAGGCTGTAGTAAGCTGAGATTGCGCCACTGCACTCCAGCCTGGGTAACAAAGTGAGACCTTGTTTCAAAAAACAACAACAACAAAAAAAAGTGAGCAAAGAGTTTTTCCAGAGAGGAAGCAGCAAGCATAAGGGCCTAGAGGTAAAACAGCACCTAATAGATTTAGGAAAGTAAAATTGGCTCACATGACTAGAGTACAGAATGTGAAGAAAAAGTGAATTATCTGGACAGACAAGACTGGAGAAGTAAGCAAAAACCAGGTTATACAAGACTTTATAAACCACACTGTGCATTATCCTAAGAATAATGAATAAACATCCAAAAGTTTTAGCCTAGGGAGGGTGTGATCAGATTTGCACTTTAAAAAGGACACATTAAAAAAAAAAAAAAAAAAAAAACAAAGGACACATTGGCTAGAGTGCGGAAAACTGACTCAAAGGAGGACCAGACAGGAGACTACTGCAGTATACCGGGTAAGAAATGAGGAGGGAAATAAACTAAAGTAGAATGGGTAATAAAGAAAAAGGGACAGAGAAGAGATAGGAGGCAGCATTTATAGAACTTGGTGACTGGCGTGAGACAGGTTAACTAAATTTTGCCTCCCACATTTGTACCTTGGGCAAGTGGATAGATAGGGGTACCTGTTGAATTATATTAATGTTCACAGAGGACTGACATGAATTACAAGGAGATACAGGAACTCAGGCAAAATCTTTTCCTCCAATACTCTAAAACTATTTGCACCATTTCCACCAATGACTTCCACATTGCCATATCCAGTGGCTCTCTCTGAAACATATGATAGTGTTGACCACTTCCTTTTGGAAAGTGTTTTATCTTCACTAGATTTCTTGACATCAGGCTTGCCTGGTGCTATAGACTGAACTGTGTCCTTTCAAAATTCATATGTTACAGTGTGACTATATTTGGAGACAAGGCCTTTGGGAGGCACTTAAGATTAGATGAGGTCATGAGGGTGGGGTCCTCGTGATGGGATTAGTGGCTTTAAAAAAGAGGAAGAAAAAGATCACTCTCTTTCCACCACCTGAGAACACAGCAAGAAGGTGGCCATCTGCCAGCCAGGAAGAAGGCCCTCATCAAGAACTGAATTAGCGGGCACCTCACGCAGTCTCCAGAACTGTGAGAAACAAGTATCTGTTGTTCAAGCCACTCAGTCTATGGTATTTTGTTATAGCAGCCCAAGCAGGCTAATATACCTGGTTTATATCATAGTCCCTTTCCCTCTACACTAACGTTTTCTAGCTTCCTTAGCCTCCTGCTTTTTTCACACTTACTTACTCCCTGGAGGGCAGCATGCACTCTCATGTTTTGTTGTAGTTTGTTTTCAGCTACCACAATTATGCCAATGATTCCCAAATCTCCATCTGACCTATCTCCTGAGCTCCAGGACTACCTACACTACTGTCTACTAGACATATCCAACTGGACATACCATAGACAGCTTAAACATGACATGCCCAGAATGAAAGTCATCACTTTCCCCATAAAATTTGTTTCTCCTAAACCAGACTTGTAAGTCACTTGGTGCACAGGCCACAAAAGGTAACAAGGTATGATCCCTGCCATCAAGAAGCCTACAGTCAGGGTACAGAAATAAACAATCATTTCAATTATAATACAGTCTGAGGCCAGGCACGGTGGCTCATGCCTGTAATCCCAGCACTTTGGGAGGCCGAGGCGGGCGGATTGCCTGAGGTCAGGAGTTCGAGACCTGCCTGGCCAACATGGTGAAACCCCATCTCTACTAAAAATACAAAAATTAGCCAGGCGTGGTGGCACACGCCTGTCATCCCAGTTACTCGGGAGGCTGAGGCAGGATAATCACTTGAACCCAGGAAGTGGAGGTTGCGGTGAGCTGAGATTGCGCCATTGCACTCCAGCCTGGGCAACAAAAGCGAAACTTCGTCTCAATAATAATAATAATAATAATAATAATACAGTGTGAAAAGTGTTACAATATGAACAAACTAGATGCTATGTAGACACATAAAAAGAGTGTCTGATTGCGGTGCCTGACTCAGTGTTAATGTTCAGGGGTTTCTGGAAAAGGAAACATCTAAGCTCAGGCACACAAAGTGAGATTTTTAAAAAATTAAGTAGATAAATATATTCCAGTAAAAGGTAACAGCTATTGCAAAGGCTAGGAAGAGAGAAAGAACCTAGCATTGAATTGTAAATGGCTAAGTATGAAGTATGGCTGGAAAGCAAAACTGAGGACTAAAGTAGTAAAAGATGAGCCCACAGAAGGAAAAAGTGGCAGATCTTGAAGAATATTCCAAGTCCCGTTAAGGAATTTTACCTTGAGGGCAGACAGTATCTGTTGAAGGAAGGAATATGATCAGAACTGCCCTTTTAGAAGCATTAAAGTACAAATTAAGAAAGTATTTCGCTTGGGACCTGTAAAGTGAGCAAAAGTTTACAAGGAGGCTTAGGGGGAGAACAGCATTCCTAGAAGATAACAAAAGCATGAAAAAAAGGTACCAAAGCTCGAAATAACACAGCTAGATCAGAGACACAGGCAGAGAGGCATGGCAGACAGATAACATCTCCTTCTACTATAACTGCATTTTAATTGGATTACATATTCTATACTCTCTTAAAGCTACATATGGCTGTGACTAAATTCTGGCTCATAATACATGAGTGGAAGATATATGCCCTATTTCCCAGTCTTGCCTCTAAAAGGACGACTACATGTGCTTTCCCTGGACATTTTCCCAGGAACTGCCTAGAAACACAAAGACTGTAAGTCTAATACATTTTTAGAGAAAGTATAAAGCCAAAATCATAAGAAGCTAAGATTATTTAACCCCTAACCTCTAGGCCCACAAACCTACGCTGGCAGCAAGAGGACTACAAAATGGGTACAATTCCCAAAGATGATATACTCTCTAACTACCATTTTGGATGTGGCCAGAAAGGAAAAACTTCCTGGAGAACAAAGCCAGGAGTCAGGGAAAAAGGGTGAGGGAGTTCCTCCAAGAAAGCAGAACCACTAACCACTTCCTGGTCAGAATAGGGAGTCTTTGAAATTGTGTGAGGCAATTATTTGATCATTACTGGAAAGCAATGACTTCTACATGTTTCTCATTCTTCCCTTTTCCAAATGGGAGTTTGTAACTCTCACTGTGATGATCCTTTTCTTATTTCACCATTGTCTACTGGGTTAGGCTGGGAAAGCAGGGAAAACATATGACTTATCTTTTACTTTATGGTCAGTGGACCACAGGAGCCACACCAGGGCCTGATGGATAGGACTGTGTACCACCTAGACATGCTGGACTTGGAGCCAAACACAGTGACTAGATAGGTCTTTGGAGCTACCTCTCTCAGAGAAGAGGCGTATTCTATGTTTGGGAAGAAAGGTTCACTGAAATATCTGGGTGGCCAGGAGAGTAGACTGGAAGACTGCAAGTCATCCCCTGATATCCTATAACTTCCTCCAGAGTAACAGAGTTTTAGTTGAGCCTACGACTACATAGCCAGAGATGACAATTCCTGGCCTCCCTTCTAGCTATGCTAGCTACATGACTGTGTAGTGAACAGTAAGATGTAAGTGGAAGCTTCTCAACAATATCAGGCCACTTCTGGGCCCTGCCTTTAAAATTACTGGGCAAGCACTGGGATATAACAAGCACCAAAGGAGCTGCCTTGGCCAGAAGTGGAAAGCACTAATTGCTTTGGGAATTAGGGAATTGGAAATGGCAGAGCCACCCCAACATCCCAAACCACTCATCTCTGGACTATCTCATTAAAATTAATACTGTATCTTGGGGGTCTCTCTCATAGTAGCTTAGAGTACACCTTAAACTGTATAAGGGGTTAGCCATAGAAAGTAATAAGGACCTCATTCTGAGATAAGAACTAAGGAAGTAAGGCTGGGTTAAGTAAGAAAAGATTTTTAAGTGCCAACGGGGAAGGTTGAGGCACTTTTTAAAACTAATTACTAAGATTTCCCAACTATGGCCACTCTAATAAGCCACCAGAGTGATCTTTCTAAAGCAAAAACTGACTGAAGGGCCAGGGGCAGTGGCTCACGCCTGTAATCCCAACGCTTTGGGAGGCCAAGGCAGGCGAATCACCTGAGGTCAGGAGCTTGAGACAAGCCTGGCCAACATGGTGAAACCCCAACTCTACTAAAAATACAAAAATTAGCTGGGCATGGTGGTGCACGCCTGTAATCCCAGCTACTCAGGAGGCTAAGGCACGAGAATCATCTGAACCTGGGAGATGGAGGTTGCAGTGAGCCAAGATCGCACCACTGCACTCCAGCCTGGGTGACAGAGTGAGACTCTGTTTCTAAATAAATAAATAAATAAATAAATAAAACAAACCTGACTCTGTC
Organism: Homo sapiens; assembly: GCF_000001405.40. Taxonomy (NCBI): domain Eukaryota; kingdom Metazoa; phylum Chordata; class Mammalia; order Primates; family Hominidae; genus Homo; species Homo sapiens. The sequence continues at coordinate 57,076,853 of NC_000024.10, read as the reverse complement.
ACACCCTGGCTGAAAACCTTCAATGCCTTTCCACTGCCCACAAGGTAAAGTCCAAGCTCTTAATATGGCCTACAAGGCCCTACATGACTTTTCTTCTACCCATCTCTCTAGCTTTATTTTCACCATCCTGGGCACCAGTCACAGAGAACAGTCTGCAGTTCCCTAAATATGCCCGCCCTATGATCTCATGCCTCCATACTTCTCTACCTGCTGTTCCTTCTACTTGGAATACCATTCTCCTATCTACTACTTCCCATCCCCCCAACCCTTGACATCGTGGATTTGACTTTCTCCCTCATTAAACTATAACCCTTATGAGGGCAAATACCACATATCTTGTTATATCCCCAGCACCAAGCAAAGTGCCTGGCAATAGTTAAGTGCTCAGTAAATATTTACTGAAAGAATGAACAAAGGAACATTATCTATCTTATCTGAATTATTTTCACATATCACACAGCTCTAGAGCAAAGTCATTTTTACATTTAACATTTCATCTTTCTTCAAAATAAAATATCACTTCAATAATAGAATAAAATAATTACAAGTTAAATTTATAAGTAACAAAACCAGATATATTTTCTAAGTTGGTGAAGGTTACTATTCTGTCAGCTTATTCAAATTATGTACCTAGAAGCTTGTTTTCTACTTTTCTACCGTTCTGATTAGAGTAACAGAATTCCCTTCTTTCATCCCTTACCACATGCAGAACAGAACTCACTTGCCATGTGAGTACGTTAGTTTGTTATTTTCAGAAGGTATCTTAGCCAGAATCTGCTCTGTCACCTCCAGGAAGTTTCCTCCACACCAAGCATGTTTGGCAAGGATAGTGGTCCCCCTGGCAACAACAGCAAAAAGAATCGCCATGGCTTCAGTCTATCAAAAGGAAAAAGACACAGATTTAGAATATTTCTTTGACATAATCTTTCAAAGGTAACTTACTATCATTTATCAACATACTACCTGGAGATAGTATCTAACGAGGCACTATAACATGAAACTTAACAACAGACTTAAGAGCAGGCTTAAAAAGAAGGTCAAAGTTTTCTACAAACTTACAACCTAAGCCATGCTTGTATGCATTCATATAAAGAGACATACAAAACACATACACACACACACACACCATTGATAGCTTGCATTTACAAATTATTATAGCACAAACAGATATCACCCTTTTGAAAAGCAATGACTATAGATAGCAAAGGGACATAAAGATGTCTTCATTCTTTAATGTAGAAATTCCATCCTGAAAATTTATCCTAGAGAAATAGTTCAACAGAAGTTAAGACTCTAGATTCACAAAGATAACTATTAACAATAAAAATAGCCTATATTTATTGTTTACTATGTGCCAGGTACCATTTTAAATACTTTATAATTATTAATCCATTTAATCCTCACAACTCAATGAGATTATACACTATTATGATACTTCTATTATAGATGAGAAAACTGAAGCACAGATGACTTAAATAATTTCCCCCAAATTACAGAGCTAGTAAGTGTGGAGCTGCAATTTAAACCTAGGCAGTATGGTTCTAGAGCTCATAATCTTAGCCTTTTACTGTACACTGCCAGTATAAAGGCATTATCCATAACAGAAACAAAGTGAAAATAACTCAAAGCTTCCACAAGAAAGGAATGGTAAGACCCTTCATAAACAAAACATTACTAAAACCATATGGCATGAGTTTAAGATTATTTTCCTTATGTCTGCCTATGAATATGTGCTATTATTTCCCACCTAACAAGCCCAGCTTCTCTTATTTAATGGCATAAACATAAAAAGAGATGAACAAATCCTTGTCTAGTCTTCGATTAACTGTTAAACCTACTCTTATTTGTTAACATGCTCAGTACCCAACATACCAGTGGTTCTCAAACTGTAGTGGGAATACGAATCATCTTGTGTGGCAGAGTATGAGTCATTTGCTAAAAATTCAAACTCTTGGCATCACTTCCTGAAATTCTGATTCCGTAGGCCTGAGGTAGGGCCCTGGAATCTGTATTTAATACAAGTCTGTCTGGATGCAGGTGATTCACACAAACATACTTTGTGAAACACAACAGCAAACTATAAACTGTTTGAGATCAAGGAATGTGCAGATTCCTTATTGCAATCCCAGCATGGAAGGACAGCACACAGAGCAGAAGGTGCTCATCTGTCTCTTGGGCTGAATGCCTTTTGGGGATCTCTTTTTCATTCCTACTCTCTAACTGAAGTTGTTCCCCAGGGTTGTGATCTCAACCATCTTCTTTCTAGAATTCTCCTTACACATATGCAGTAAGTTATAGTTTCCAAATTGCTGTCTTATACTTTATCTCCCTTGATCCTAAAGCCTCCCTAACTGTGGATCCTACTGTTCTGTTTCTTTTCTTTTTTTTTTTTTTTTGAGACAGGGTCTTGCTCTGTCACCCAAGCTCCAGGCTAGAGTGCAGTGGCACAATCTTGGCTCACTACAGCCTCCACTTATCAGGCTCAAGTGATCCTCCTACCTCAGCCTCTGGAGTATCTGGGACTACAGGTGTGTGCCACCATGTCCGGCTATTTTTGTATTTTTTTTTGTACAGACAGGGTTTCACCATGTCACCCAGGCTGGTCTTGAACTCCCGGGCTCAAGTGATCCACCTGCCTTGGCCTCCCAAAGTGCTGGGATTACAGGCATGAGCCACCGTACCTGGCCCTGTTCTGTTTCTTCAAAGCATCGTTACGCATTATCTCTGCTCCTCTGCCTCCTTTCAACTCTTCTACTTACTATAATCCAGCTTTTGCCCTTAAAACTCCAGAAAACCATGCTTCCTAAGGTCACCAACAGCCTCTATATTGCAAAATACAGTGGTTGCTTCTCTATTCTTACCTTACTTGACCTCTTAGGCACAGTCAACACTGCTGACCGACCCTCCTTCTTGAAATGCTCCTACATCTCTGGCTGCTCTTTTTGTCTTCTTGCTGACTCTTCCTCCTCTACCTGACCTCTAAATGTCGACTTTCCTCCGGGACTGATTCTGTGCCCTTTTATTCCCAGATGAGCTCAGTTAGATCTGCCATTTTAAACATGATTTATTTGCTGAAGATATATTGCATACAGAAAAAAAAAATAGTGCCAAAGATAAAACCCAAAGCACAACCAACAGTTGAGGGAAAGGTAGATAAATAGAGACTCACAAAGACTGAGGAGGACCAAATGGGAAAGCCAAAAGTGTGGTGGCCCAGAAGCCGAAAGGAAAGAAAGAGAATGAAGACTGTAAAACAATCAGTGAAATTTTATAACAAGGAAGGAGGTCATTGCTTAGGGTCAAAGAGACACAGTAGAGAGGAACAAAAACACAAAGAGAAACAGAGATAAGAAATCATATGGTCCCTGGAACAGAGAGATGAAAAAGTAGCAGCAGCCTCAGTCCCTGTGCAGGTTCAGAAGGAAACTTGACCTTGGCAACAATTAATACAAAAAGATCTAGTGTTTCAGTGGACTGTAAGTTCATTATGAACCAACGGTATGCGATATTGCTTAAAAATGCTTACATAATCTCAAAGTACATTAAGAAATAGGGTGTCTTGACCTGTTTAAGTACTAGTCCCATTACACTCTGTGCTGGTTAGAACATATGTAAAATACTGAATTCAATTCTGGGTAGAATATTTAACGACTAGACAAAAGGGAGGCAATACAATATGGGTGAGAGACATGGAGATTGTGTCATCTGAAGACTGGCTGGAGGAACTAGAGATATGTAACATGAGAAAGAGAGGACTTAGAGGGAACATGACAATAGTTTTTGAGTTTATATAAAGTACAGTCACCTGGAACAGGGAGCACATTATTCAGAATATAACTAGGAACAATGAATATAAGTTATACGCAAGTAGTGTTTCTTCCAATAAAAGCAGTCCCCAACTTAAAAATGACTGTTAAACAGTGGGTACATAGCAACAGAAACTTTACTTTCCTTCCAGATGTCACTAATAGGAATTCCTTCCTCTCTGCTATACTGCTAAAAATCCCACCTATGAAGTCTTACCTGCCCCCATTGTAAGTGTCTTGTAATAGAATCCATAACGTCTTGATGAGTATTGGGATAACAGAAACAATTGTGGCACAATGAACACTGCACTTGAAGTTAGAAAACCTGGCTCTGCTAATTATTAGCAGTATGTAAATGCCTAATAAACCATAAAGTGCTATATAAAGATAAGATCCAAGAAGAAAAAGAATGAAAAGATAAGCCAGAGAGAGAAGGGAAGAAAAAAAGATAATGCAACATAAAGGAAAGCCCCATATCAACACTGTTCCTCTTTGTTCTCCTATTCACTCCCCACTTGGTCCCACAGCCACCATCCCAATTCTACTTTATTCCTGCTAAGAATCCTGTATTAGTTTCTTGTAGCTGCAGTAATAAAGTACCAAAAACTTGGTTGCTTAAAACAACAGAAATGTATCGCCTACCAGTTCTGAGGGTTAAAAGTCCAAAATCAAGATGTTGGCAGGGTTATGCTCCCTCTGAAACCTGTAGAAGAGAATCTTTCCTTATCTCTTTCTAGCTTCTGATAGTTTGGTGGCAATCCTTGGTGTTCCTTGGCTTGGAGGTGCAGCACTTCAATCTTTACCTCTGTAGTCACATGGTGTTCTCTGTATCTGTGTCTTCACACTGCATTCTCTCTGTCTCTCTTCTTTTATATGGATGCCAGTCATATTGGATAAAGGGCCCACTCTACTCCAGTATGACCCCATTTTCAATTACATCTTAATTACATCTGCAAAGATCCTATTTCTAAATAAGATCCCATTCACAGGTACCACGGGTTAGGACTTCAACACAGCTTTCTGGAGGACACAATTCAACCCACAACAAACCCCCATTTTAAACTGATACTACACCTGATCTTAGCCAAAAGGCTGACAAGCAATGCAAACTTCCATTTTAGAAACTCACTGTTCATCCCAAATAAATCCTACCCTTCCCTTTCCAGATACTCATATCACCCAACTTGCCTCCCTCTCTAAAACCTCTGTCCCTTCGTTTTCCTTGCTCATATTGGAGGACTGTCCTTAGAGCTAAGGGCTAGAAGGGTCACCCACAACAGTTTGGAGTTAGAAAAGCCTGTTTTTACTATGTTAAGGGACTAAAGAAAGGATATTTTTGTTCTAGTTGTTGGGTTTCTAAAAAAAGATATGCTATAAGGGAATTCAAATGAGAATTATAAATGCAGTTTTTTAATAGAGGAATTATTGTAAATTGTGGGGAAGGTCTTCGAGTCCACTAAATTAAAAGTTAATAAAATGATACTGGTTGGCATAACAGTGTAAATGTCATGGATAGCATTATTTATAGAAGGAAATGCATCCAGCGTTCCAAACAATAAGCTTACAACAGTACTTTTAGAATATATCCATTTGTAAGTAAGAAATTGCCTGTATTAAAAAATTTGGTAATAACATAGAACAGCAATGATGAAAATGCTCCTCCTCAGCAGAAGCATCTTCAAGTAGAGGCTGAAGACAGTTTCAGGTAACTGAGTAAGGGGAAAGGCCAAGTCCATGTGTTTTGAGAAATCTTTTAATTCTGCATTTGTATTTTGATAACACTGAAAAATGTATAAGAATATTCTGGATCATCTACATGTGTATCTTATAAACGAGCAATGGCACACAATTCAGTGCTGCACTTGCATTCCTGTCTATAAAGAAATAGGTGTCAATAAATCACCTAAAATAACAATGCTTAATGTTTACATCTTAGAAGTATCTGGCTGATCTTAGGTTGGCACATCCTAAATTCACGACAGTCATGACTCAAGCACTCTTGTACTGCTGTTGTTTTTAATCAGTTATAAAGACAAAATTTGTCTTTTGCAGTAATGATTTACAATTGAAAGATACCTGCATGGAATAAGACTTTAATTTTGGCTGGGCGCAGTGGTTCATGCCTGTAATCCCAGCACTTTGGGAGGCTGAGGCGGGCGGATCACCCAAGGTCAGGAGTTCGAGACCAGCCTGACCAACATGGAGAAACCCCGTTTCTACTAAAAATACAAAATTAGCCAGGCGTGGTGGCGCACGCCTGTAATTCCAGCTACTTGGGAGGCTGAGGCAGGAGAATCGCTTGAACCCGGGAAGTGGAGGCTGAGGTGAGCCAAGATCATGCCATTGCACTCCAGCCTGGGTAACAAGAGCAAAACTCTGTCTCAAAAGAAAAAAAAAAGTTTAATTTTAATACTTGAGGCTTTTATCTGACATCCTGAAAATGACAATGTGGCAGAATAACATTACCACTTAAATTACCTCAGGCTGAGAAAGTAATACTCAAAGATGTGTTTCTTGGCCGGGCATGGTGGCTCATGCCTGTAATCCCAGCACTTTGGGAGGCCGAGGTGGATCACCTGAGGTCAGGAGTTCGAGACCAGCCTGACCAAAAATGGTGAAATCCCGTCTCTACTAAAAATACAAAAAAAAATTAGTCAGGCGTGGTGGTGTGCACCTGTAATCCCAGCTACTCAGGGGGCTGAGGCAGGAGAATTGCTTGAACCTGGGAGGCGGAGGTTGCAGTGAGCCGAGATCGCGCCGCTGCACTCCAGCCCAGGCAACGGAGTGAGACTCCGTCTCAAAAAAAAAAAAAAAAAAAAAGATGTGTTTCTACCAAGTAGAAACCAAATGATACCAAAACATGCTGTGTGAACAGAGGTTATACAACTGTTCAAATAAAGTAGTAGAATTAACTCATTACATAGCACATGGTGATAGTCAATGCAAAATCTTTAAAAAGTATTCTGTATCATTATATTATTGCAGTAGGATCTATTACATTAATTCTTGCAAGAGTTCATTGGCAGAATGTTTCATAGGAAATATAAAAAGGAAATTAATTTTTTTCCACCCCTGTATCATGAGCAGATTATTAAATTAACTGGCCCACCAAATTAATGGAGGGAGGTACACAAGGTGCTTGGGAAGAGATGGGAGATCCTTTTAGGAGGGATGGATGGAAGAAGAGAAGGCACTGAGAGCAAGGTAAAGAAGGTACATAAGCTAGCCTGATAAGATGGAATGGTCCACCTTTGGTGAATGAGAAGGTTGAGGAATACGGCTGATGGCCTTACATAAAGAAGGCCTTGTATAAATCATGTCATTTAAATTTGATCAAATAGGGAGTCTATTTCAGTTCAACACGTATATACTGGTGGGTTACTATATGACAGTCAAAGTAGACACTAGAGGTATAAAGTTAAGGAAGAAGGGACTCCTATACTTGAGGGAGCCATAGAACAATGGGGAAGACAGATATAAATAAATGCAATAAAGTATAATAAGTGAATAATCTAAGAATGTCCGCAATTGCTCAGGAAATGTCTTAATGTTTTGTGATGATCTCACCTCGGATGAAGAACAGGAATGCAGGTGTCAGCCTATGCCTTAGAAATTTCCTCAGTATACTGTTAGGATTATTTCTCCTTGGAAGAGAGGTCAAAGTGTCTATTTTACCCTATTTTCCCAGTGCTCAGCACAGTGCCTACCATCTAATATTCCCTCAAATATCTGTTGAATAAATGAGTGAACATTGAGCATATTTTGGTTTTAAAATATACTATAAATGGTAGATAACTTTATATTCAGAAGGACCTGGTAAGAATAATATTTTCACAACCAAACTATCTTTCTAAGTAAGATAAAGCAGTTGAGCTAATAGTAATCCAATCCCCCACTCTTCTCTCTGGGTCTTAGAAGGAATAAACCAACTACAGATAAACCATGAATTCTGATGCAATAACCTTGGAGGAGATAGAAGAATGAAGAATAAACACTGCTTAGACAGGGGAAAAGAAGAGGTGTTTACGAAAAGTCATGTTACAGATCAAGATTATTCCTGTTGGTATTACAACTATTCTTTCTGGACGATGCCCTGACCTCTGACTTTCTTAGGATAGGATCCCATCCTTTCAAGTCAACCACCTGTTTTATTTTGCATTAACCAATATATAACATAATCCTGATTATTCCTGTTTTCCCCTCTAGACACAAACATGTAAGTTCCTGAGAGTAGCAACCTCCTAAGTCTTGTTTACAGCTGTATCCCCTGCACTTAAAAGAGTGTCAAGCATATACCAGCCGTTCAATAAATATTTGTTAAATGTATGAATGGATCTGCTCTCAGCCACAGGTATTCAAAGGGAATTAATATCCTAAACATGACTGTATCCTCTGGGATCAAGGGAGGGATAATGGAGATACAGGTAGTTGAAAGCAATTAATGAGGCCAAATGAAGACAGTTGGTTGGTTGTGAGAGTTATGGGAGACGGAGATGTAAAGCATTTACCAAAGTACGCAGTCAGAATTTGATAAACATTGGCCATTAATAAAAACACCAAACAGGTCTGAAGCTGAGGAAACGGGTCTAGGCAGAAATACAGTCCCTGAACAGAGGAAGAAGGGGACTGTCAATACTGAGCAGTGGAGGAAGGGCGAATAAGGGGCTAGGAACCCACGAAGGAGCATAAACAGCCAGAAGTAGAAGGTGAAGCAGAAAGTGACGTCATCGAACAAGGACGTAGAGAGTTTTTAGAAGACTCTGGCGATCTCAAGAGATTTAAATGCTACAGAAAGGTCTTGTAGAATACAAACTGAGAGAAAGTTAACATTTTTTCCCTCCTGTAATGACAGCTTAAGTGACGCATTCTGACACTCTTTAACTCGAGGCCTTTCCAGTGGCATAAGACGCACCTCGCCAAAACTGGTCCTGCCCGACAACTGGAACTGTCGACACCAGAGAAGCCCAAGTCACCCCTGCACTGCCTCCTCGCTCCACCCCAGCACCTTTCCATCGACACCTCCGCCCTCCCTCCGCAGTTCTCTCCCCGCCTCCCGCAGGCGCACCCCACTCCATTTACCTGTCCGGGCACCCTCTGAGGGCGCGCGGGCTCGGGACGGAGGGACGCGGGTCAGTGCAGGGTCGCCAACTGCCCGCTCCCAGAGGAGGCTGGGACCGGACGCCGCTGACTTCCGCATGAAGCGCCCCGTCTACGCGTGGCCTCTTGGGAGTGGGAGCGCTCCTCCAATGGCAGCAGGCGACACGGCTAGGCCTGCTGCGTTCCCAGCCCCCCGCACTTCCCAGGAGCCGTACTGCATTCTGGGAGTAGTAGTTCCGGTTGGAGTATCACTGAGTGTTTCACGTTCGTTCGACAGCTCTTGTGGTAAACAGCGTCAAATGCCGTATAGGGATCCAGGAAAATGAGAGGATGCAGGCTAGATAAAGAATCTACCAGCAATGAGTAGGCGGCATAAATGAAGAGCCAAGCTTGCCCCGTCTCTCCTGCTTAGTCTCAGTAGGCAGCGTCGCCCGTTTCCTCACAGACAAAATAGAATTCATCTGACAGGAACTGCCTCTACTTTCGCCATGAAATTTTCTAATTTTCTTGTACCCCTCACCAATCCTTTCTCCTATTCTTTTTGCAATAATAATAATAATAAACGACTACTCTCCTTTGATCTAAGCCAGCCCTCTTCCATCTCTATTCCCTGTTGCCGACTCAGAGTCAAGCTCCTCTGATGAACCCTTCCGTTGCATGACTCCTCAACGGCTCTCTGCTAACTCGCTCTTTACTATCAGGACTTAAAGGCTGTCAAAATTTCTCTCATCTAAAACATTCCAAAGTCACCTTTCTTAACCCCATACCCCAAGCCCCCTCATCAAACACAGACCAAACACAGATAAGCTAGTGGTCTTTCTCTCACCTCTCCTTTACAGACAGAATTCTCAACAGTGTTGCTAAAACAAATAGATACTTTTAAGCCATTACCGTATTTCAACTCTGCAGGACTTTAGTTTCATTATTCCTTTTTTTTTTTTTTTTTTTTTTGAGATGGAATCTCACTCTGTTGCCCAGGCTGGAGTGCAGTGCCGCGATCTCGGCTCACTGCCAGCTCCGTCTCCCGGGTTCAAGCGATTCTCCTGCCTCAGTCTCCCAAGCAGTTGGGACTACAGGCGTGCGCCACCACAGGCAGCTAATTTTTTATATTTTTAGTAGAGACGGGGTTTCACCATATTGGCCAGGCTGGTCTCGAACTCCTGACCTCATAATCGACCCGCCTCAGTCTTCCAAAGTATTGGGATTACAGGCATGAGCCACCACACACGGCCCTTATTCCCTCCTTTTTGAACCCCTTTATTCTGTTAGCTCTTTCCAAGAACTACACCCTGCTGGTTCTCCTCCCACCTCTGTGGCAGCTCTTCATTTTCTTTAGAAATGTTCACATTCCATAGGGTTCTGCCCTATGCCATCTTCTCTTCTTACTCTTCACACTCTTCCTGGTGATCTTAATCATTCCCCTTGCTTTATCTCCCCTTTGCAAAGGTTCGCATTTGGTATTAATATCAACTTAATTATATTGTATTCAATATCTATTCTTTAAGAGGCAGCATAGTATCCTAGAAAAAGAATGAGTTTTAGAGTCAGAGAGATCTGAGTTACTAAGCTGTGTGAACTCTAAATATCGCCTCTCTTTAGAGCTTTCAGGACTCTAGCAAAGCCCCCTCTTACTCCATATTCTCTCCTAAAGTAATCTTATTTATACCCTAAAATTTGTAGTGTAATTATCTGGCCATGTAAGATGTGCCTGCTTCCCGTTTGCCTTCCACCATGATTGTAAGTTTCCTGAGGCCTCCCTGTCAGAGGTATGTGAACCAGAACAACTTTGTCTTGAATAGGAGCTGGGTAAAATAAGGCTGAGACCTACTGGGCTGCATTCCCAGACAGTTAAGGCATTCTAAGTCGCAGGATGAGATAGGAGGTCAGCACAAGATACAGGTCATAAAGATCTTGCTGATAAAACAGACTGCAGTAAAGAAGCCAGCCAAAACCCACCAAAACCAAGATGATGACGAGAGTGAATGTACACAGGCTAATTTCCTTAATATGGTTATTTTCAGCATCTAGGGTTACCATAGTGAATGGTGGGGCACTGATAAACATGGCTATCTAGACATTTAGAAATAGCTCCTGTATAAGTGTTCATCCTAGGGCTGGCAAATGCAGACCCTAGAAGGGCAGGCCAGGAAAGCCCTATATTCCAGTGGGACAGCAGAAATATTTGCCTCCTGGCAATTGGATCAAGATTGGATCCTGGCAATTGGATCAGGGTTTGCCTCCTGGCAATTGGATCAGGAATCTGATCCAGTTCTCCCTTGATGGGACTGAAGTAAGTTACTAAATCTTGGAGCCTTAGTTTTCTCCCCTGTAAAATGGAGATAATTCTATCCACCAAGCCCTAGCACGATCAGATGAGATAACAGAGATGAAAGCAGTCTGTTGACTTTTAAAGGGCTGCCAGATGTTCTAAATTATTACTATGCTAGGCAGTGCTGCAAATATGCATCTTAGATTTAGCAGTTTGTCCTCTATCCTACTTATTTTTATTTTATTATAAGTTCTGGGGTACATGTGTAGGATGTGCAGGTTTGTTATACAGGTAAATGTGTGCCATGGTAATTTGCTGCACCTATCAACCCATCACCTAGGTATTAAAGCCCAGCATGCATTAGCTATTTTTCCTGATGCTCTCCCTCCCCCAACCCCACCCCGACAGGCCCCAGTGTGTGTTGTTCTCTTCCCTGTGTCTATGTGTTCGCATTGTTTAGCTCCCACTTACAAGTGAGAACATGCAGTGTTTGATTTTCTGTTCCTGCATTAGTTTGGTGAGGATAATGGCTTCCAGCTTCACGTGATGTGTTATTTTGTGGTTTACAAACAAATCTAGTGATTCTGTTGCTTTTGAATCAAAATCACATGATTGCAGTGTATCACTGATTGCCATTGCTGTTCATGCTTCTTTTCTCCTGGATGTTTGGACTTAGGCAACTTTTCTTCCTCTTATACTATGCTGAAAACAGACCTACATCAAGGATACCTGTTCTCTTTTGAAATTCACAATCCGTAGAGGGAACTAACACATTATCAATAGCTATAAAATAATTGACATTTGAGTATGGGACATATTTTTGGTTGCAGCTTATTCCAGTTAGAGTCGTCACATATCTTCCTTTGTTCATCTGAGCCATCTGTGGTTCTAACATGAACTTTTGCAAAGCAGTTGTGAATAATTATTTTTTTTCTTTTTTTCTTTTTTTTTGAGATGAGGTCTGGCTCTGTTGCCTAGGCTGGAGTGCAGTGGCACGATCACAGCTCACTGCAGCCTTGAACTCCTGGGCTCAAGCGATCTTCCCGCCTCAACCTTCCTAGTAGCTGGGACTACAGGCACGTGCCACCATCCCCAGCTAATTACTTCCGAGGTGTCTGTGTTCCACATAGTAGTAAGATTTCTCATTACATCAAGAACATGCCATTTCTTTATATCTGTGATAGGAACACTGCTTCTCATAATGTGTCAAGCACTTCCAGCATCCACATTTTGATTATTTATTATATCTCAGTTTAATAGCTGCTTGTAGCCATGGTGCTGGCAGGCAAAAAATTTTTTTAAAGGCCACAGATGTGTTTGATTTAAACCTTCAATGACTATGTGCAGCTATTGGTAATAGAGTGTTCACGTTCTGGCAAGCCGTTTTTCTCTCTAATTATAGGAGCCATTCCCTAAACAACCTGCTAGATATCAGTGCATTTTTGTTAATTTTATATGCACACAGTTAAATTGTGTATATAAAGGAAATTTTAAATTCTTCATATAGATTATTTAAATTTCTTGTTCTTCTCAGCACTCTGGCAAAAGAAGGCTGATGACCCAACTCTCTTTATATATTTATTTTTGTCCAAAGAAATATTTTTCTGTCAGAGAATGCCTCTGGTTTGGTTGCAGATTACAGAGGTGTAGTAGATGTGCCCCATGGGTATCTCTATTCAGATTTCACTTCCTACTTTCAAGATCTTCAGCAAACAGAGTTATTGTAGATTCTTCACCTTTTAGGTGAAGTGACATGATATTGTGATAATGCCAAAAGCATTGTCACTTGCCATAAGACTTGACATCAACTCCCATCTGGAGAGCAGTTTCATTAGCCTTTTCTAAAAACTCGTGAGCATGCAGATATAGAAATACCTGCTCTGATGTGGCAAAGTTATTCAAGTGTTTTATTTACTAAGTTAGCATGTTTTGCTCCTCTCATTCTGTTACCAATTTCACCTCCCCTGGCTGCTTGTCTTTTTATCTTTTCCTAATATTTAAGAAACCTATGGAATATTCATATAGAAACTCCAAATTCTGAGACTATTTCACTTTTTGACTTCTCTTTCTTACCGAGTAACTTGTAGCTCTGGAGAAACTGGGAGCTAATTTTTCTCTTTAAAGCCACAACTAACGCATTGCATGGAGAGTAACAGAAAAGGCCTGCTTCACAGAAAACGAACATTCTAAAAAGGAAAGCCTAAGGGCAAGCCCAAGGCTTGGTGCAGAAAGTGGAAGTGTAGCAGTGAAGAAGCAACTCATTTTCTTAAGTTTCAAAGTTTCTAAAAATAGCAAAGATGATGTCAACTTCACTGGAAGGGCTAATTTGAATTATCTTAATAACCAAGGTATACTAATGACTTTGAGATAGATACTGTTGCTATCAGATATTGAGTGATTAGTTTTAAGACATAAAATGATGAAACTGAAGGACAGCACAGTTTTTTAAATTATCTTCTCTTAAAATTTTGATGGAAAATTAAGAACAATTCCAGTTCAAAGTTCTAAGCATAAAATGAGGGTATTCCCATCTGTTGGTTCTCTTCTTTGATTGATATTAATAATCCATACTCTTATTTCAATCTTAATGTCCATGTATACCCACTGTTTAGCTCTCACTTATAAGTGAGAACATGTAGTATTTGATTTTCTATTTCTATGTTAATTCCTATTAACATAGAAATTATTTCTATGTTAATTTCACTTTCTTTGCTAATTCACTTAGAATAATGGCCTATGTTTTCTATTTCTATGTTAATTCACTTAGAATAATGGCCTCCAGCTGCATCCATGTTGCTGCCAAGGACATGATTTCATTCTTTATTATGACTGCCTAATATTCCATGGTGTATATGTTCCACATTTTCTGTATCCACTCCACCGTTGATAGGCACTTAGGTTGATTCTATGACTTTACTATTGTGAATAGTGCTGCAATAAACATATGAGTGCAAGGTTTCTTTTTAATAGAGCAGTTTCTTTCCCCTGAAAAACTACCTTATTGGGTACTATGTTCACTATTTGGGCAATGGGTTCACTAGGAGCTCAAAGTCAGCATTATGCAATATACCCTTGTAACAAACCTGCACACATACCACTTGAATCTAAAATTTAAAAATTAAATAAATGTTTTTAAAAAAGAATGCATACTCTAATGGAATGGTAAACCACAAAACTGGTGTCCTCATGAAAAAGGTCTGTAACTTGGCATTAGATTTTTTTCCGCCTTGGCTTATTTCCAGTTGTTCAGGATTTTGGCTAAAAATCCTTCAGCATTTAACGAATTATCTGTTGGTGAAAGGTGCTGGATCTGTTTCTCTGCGCATATACTGATCTTTGTCATCAATCACTTTAATAATGAGAAAACAGCTGGGACAGGTTCCCATATCTTTCCCGTTCTCCAACTCTTGGCGAGAATGAAGATGCCCATATAAATTGTCCCTACATGTGCAGGGATAGAAATACATCTTTAAGTCATTGTCATGTAATAAGTGCATGATTTTCACCTTGGAACAGACCAAGCATGCACTCACCTTTGAGTTTTTGCGTCAGCTGTTTACTCTGCACTGAATGCTGAACCTGCAGATCTGTGTGCATGTCTTTCTTGTTATTCAGGCCCCTCCTCAGATGGACTTTCCATGACCACTGGCTTTTCATTAGCCACTTGCCACATGTTCACTCTGTACATATTTTCTTGTTTTATTTTCTTATGATAATTAAAATAATTATGTTTTTATTGTTTACTAGCTTATTTTTCATTTACCATCATTAGGATATACATTTCATATGGGCAGGAACGTTATTAGTCTTGTTCACCACTCTTATCTCCTCAGGGTAGCACAGAGCTTGTGCTCAATTACAGTTTGTTGACAGAATGCATACTAATGACAAGGGCTAACACTCCTCAGTACCAAACAGTATTCTAAGATAGATATATATTACTGCATTTAATCATCGCAGTAATGGTGTGAAGTAATTATTATTATCAGCAACCCCCTTTTCCAGATAAGGAAAACCGAGGCTTCTAGCCTCACAGACAGCGAGGGGGCTGAGATTTGCCTCCCACGCTCTTGGCTTCCTGACTCCGCCCCTCTCGAGCAATTTTCAGAAGCTGTTTAAGAGGGAACACAGAGGAATGAGCAATCAGTGTTGGTTGACCAAAGCGAACAGTTCCAGTTGGGCACATAAAGTGTTTGCTTCTGCGCTCCTCCTTCATCTCGGTTCCTGCCTCCTCCCAAGATGGGGACAGGGAGCATGGAGCACGCATTCCACAGCAAAAAGGTTGGAAGACAGTGAGTAAATACTAGCAAGGGGCGGAATGTTTCAGAGTGTACCTCCCAGGGCCCTCATCAGAAATGCCCCAGCAGCTGCAGAGCTTGAAGCGAGCCGGGGACAGGGACCGGCGGCAGCTGCTCTGGGAAGGCGTCCTCCCCGTTGTTCTCTTCACTCCAGCGGGGAGTGGACTCGAGGAC
This sequence comes from Homo sapiens, assembly GCF_000001405.40. NCBI lineage: Eukaryota > Metazoa > Chordata > Mammalia > Primates > Hominidae > Homo > Homo sapiens. Next base: position 57,061,209 of record NC_000024.10, on the reverse strand, counting down.
CGCTACCTTTAGATGCTGAACGTGACTTCTGAATGCGAGGTCGTGGCCCGGGACTCCGGAGAGCGGCGGCAAAGCGACGGATCGTGTGACCTTTTTCGAGATGCAAGGAGACCAGATTGGCTTTGGTTTTCTTTTTTCTCCTCCCACCCAGCTCGAGATTCACACGGAGCACTTCTCTGAAAGAAAGGAGACTGTGGTTAAAATAATGGGGGAAAACCACCGATGGAGTGCACCCCCATAGTCTAAAACAGTAAGGCCCAAAGGCGTTGCTCTAAATCACCCCCGAGTTTGGGGCCACGGAGGTAGGACTGCAAGTCCAGCCAGAACGCAGCTGCCTGCTGGACCCTTACTCTCTCCAACACATTCCCAACGATTTTTTTCCTGATACTACTGCCCTCAATTTTATTTCAAATCTGTGCTTGCGGTGGTTCCCTGTAAGGAAAAAAACAAAAACTTCAGGTAGCTCGAATGCGAAGGTAATGGTTTTCATGTTATGTTTGAGTGTTTGAAAGCCATGAGTCCATATGTGACACGAATGAAATCAGGGAATGTGTGTGTGTTTTTCAAATTGTTCATCTTCCTACATTGAACATTACTACATCTTCTTGACACAGCTGTGCAGATCATTAACTTTGTTGAGAGATGGAAATACTTTTCGTAAGAAGACAGTAAATTTCTAAGTATAATGGAAAGTCACACAAATTTAAGAGACGTGAAGAATATTTATGCATGATACAATGATAGTTGATATGAAATATATTTTATTAACAAAGTAGGCAGAGGAAGGAAGGGAAACACATGAGCATTATTTGTTGAGTTTCTGCTATGTCCAAGGCACTAATACAACAGTACACAAAACAAAGTTCCTGTCCTCTTGGAGACTGCATTTGTTGAGTTCCCCTTATATGTCAGGCAAGATTTCTTACATTCTGTTTTTTGAAAAATATACATGGTTTCAATGAATATTCCAACAATCCTGGGTAGTATCATCTTGAAGTCCATTTCTTGAAATTCCAGCAACAAGTAGAATTTTAAAAACAATCCATAGACATGTCCATGGTGTAGATATATCTAAGGATATAGTGAACAATGGTGAGAAAACTTAGGTTTAAAGAGGTTAAGTACCTTAATAGCAAAGCTGAAAATCAAATGCAACTCTGTTTTGTCTCCAAAGTACCCTTTATATTAATACAATGCAGCTTCCTCTGTGGCCAAGCGCAAGCTGACTTCACAGCAAGCTGACTTCACAGCAAGCTGACTTCACAGCAAGCTGACTTCACAGCAAGCTGACTTCACAGCAAGCTGACTTCACAGCAAGCTGACTTCACAGCCGAACTGCATCTTCAAGGATGAGTGGGGGCAGAGATGTAATAGGGAAAACGTCACTACTTACGTAGTAAATCCCACAAAAGGGACTTCTCTTTTTTTCAGTCATTAAGGCAACATAATTCAGTTGTCCCAGATTTATTGAGAGAGTTATTCACACAGCTTTACTCCGACAAATTAGAAAGGCCAACATTCTAGGTAAATATGTTTAGAAGCTATCACCATGACTTTAATTTTTACTACTTGGAGTTTAAACAGAGCATTCAATTCAACAAACTTTTACCCAGGCATCATGTGCCAGGAAGTGTGCTAAGTAGTAGAGATACATGCTCTCAAGGAACTCCAATAATATTCATAATGGATTCATTAAATACATGGTAAAGTGGAAAAACACACAAGTGTAAGAGTACTTGTGTCCTGGGTTTTGTAACAACTCTGCCACTATCATATGACTTCATTTCTCTGACTCTCATCTGTAAAATTATGAGGTTGAATTAGCTGGTCTAAGAATTCTTTCAGTTTTAAATTTTTTATGATCTGGATGTATTGGAGTCTGACAAAAGGTTTGCTTTAAGTGACTGCTTTTCCCTTTCAAATTTTGCTGCATTCTATTTTTTGGTGCTTGATACTGAGGAGTAACACTGTTGATTCTCACTTTTTTTTTGGTTGGGAAGGATAGGCAGTTGATACAAGTAGAAATTGTATCACAATTTGTATTGCCCAAAGAGGACCATACCCTAGGAAACTCTCTGTTATGTGATCATGAAGTGAGTGTAAATGTTCATTCACCAAGGGCTTGGTGATTTCTTCCTAGAACCATTGGCCTAAAACATTGATTCCTAAACACGGTTGTATCGATAAGCTACTTCAGAATCACCTATGGTTAGCTGATATTCCTGGCCTACAAAGTCACATTTTTGAGGGTGCAACATGAGGATCTGTATTTGTAGCAAGAGACCCAGATGATTCTGATAAGCAACATGGTTTAGAAAATGCTGAAAAAGCAGAGACTATGACAACCTATTTATTTAATCCTCAAATCTCAAAATGGGATTTGATTTAATTCTAAACTGGAGTCAGATTTTTCAGTTTGCAGTCATGCTTCCAGAATTAACAACATGAACTGTCAGAATATTCTTTAGTAAATATAACCTTAATCTCTCATATTGTAGTTTCAAGTCTGTTATTTGTCCCTAGCAACTGGTACCCTGTAATTTTGGGCTTAATGACTCTAGAATTACATGACTACCAAGGTCTAATTTCAGTTGACAGTTTGTGATACAAATGCAAATGAAAGCTGTCACCAGACAGGGACTATAAACCTCATTGTTTTCAAACACTATTCAAAGCCTACTTTCATTTAATAAGTCATGATAGTTTATTTATACAAGTCATGCATGACCAGTAATAGAAAAATCAAAAAATGTTCACAGGAAATAAGAAAAAAATCAGAAAATGTCACAGGAAATAAGAAAAATATAAAAATCAACTTTCATCCTGCAATTTGGGGCCTCTATCTCACAAGACTTTATATATACATGTGTAGACATGTGCATGTGTGTATGTGTATATACAATTATTTTTAATTTTTTTCTGAGTGCTTATAAGTTATGATGTATAGTAAAGAAAAGTCCCTTATACCATAGAAATTTTCACCAGTAAATTAACCACTTATAAAATTAGTCCTCCTCAAAAACCCCTTTCTGCTAAACAATAGCACGTATTATTGTCCATCATATCACTGGTCCTCTGTTGACTATTGAATGTTAACAATAAAAAAAAGAAATTAATTGCAATGTAGAATTATAAATCTTGGAAAATACACAGGATTTCATAAAGTTGAAAGTGGTATTGGATAACTATTTCAATATGTCAAAGCCAATGAAAAACGATTTAAATCAGTTAAGTTGAAGTGAAAAAAATCCACTTGGATGATGAGTGATGGGTATTTTGAATATCCAATTAATGAGAGACCTTTGGAGGAAACAGTGAATTGTTCAAACGTTTTGGTAAAAATAACCCTATTTATGAGGTAAAGGATACTGTATCATTCAACACTTTTATCAGAGAACTACCCCAAATCCCTCAAATAGTTCTTATTTCATTCTTTGTCCATTCTAAAAATTATTGCATAGCTGCAATTAAAATTAAATTTTAAATTAATTATATTTTAATATAATTATATTAATTATATTTTAAATTAAAATTTAAATTATTTTAAATTTAAATATTTTAAATTAAAATAAGATTAAATAAGCTTAATTTAATAATTTTTGGTTTTAGTTTTCTAAAGTCCCAAATAAAACTTCTTTTCTATCATTTCTGATGAAATTTTGTTCCCCTATTAAGTTGATTCCCTTCTGGTGGCATTTTCAGTGCCAGCTGTCCTTGGATAATGGGAACTTTCTGTGTATGTGTGTGTGTGACATTTTTTAAAACAAACATTTATTAATTAGATGCCAGAAATCATAAATGTCAGAGTTACAGATATAAATTTGGATGTTATGAGCACATAGTTGGCATATAAACCCATGGACAGGAATGAGATCATCCAAGGTAGAAATGTATACGAGAGGGTCCAGCATCTAGCCCACAGGAATTTCGATATTCAGAGGTCTTATCGAGGAATAACAACCATAACAGGACAAGTCAATAAAGTGTGTAGAGAGGTAGGAGAAAAAACAGGTGAAAGTGGCCTCACAGAAGCTGAAATAGGAGAGTGTTTCAAGAGGAGCTTGGTCAGATATACATATGCTGCTTAAAAGGTTGAAGTAACAGTAAGATGGAAAATGTTAACTTGACTGGGACCATGAATCATATTATTGTTGATATTTTCAAGTGTCATTTTATTGGAATTGTGGGGATAAAAGTGTATACCAAAAATAAAATTCTAAGGCCCCCTCAACCATCTAAATGGACTTCCTCCTCGGCCAGGGCTCTTAAAATTTAACCTGAAAGACTGGTTCAGGCCATGAAGGGAAGTGGGGGTTGGACACGCCTCATTATACCTCTCTGGCATGAACATCAACACAGACTTTAAGTCTGATAAGAAACATTTTACAGCCTGTTCTTTCTGAAGCCTGCTAGCTAAAAGCTTCATCATTTGCATGATAAAACTTTTTGGTTTCTGCGACTTCTCATCACAACCCAAGCATTCCTTTCTATTGATCCCAAGTCTTTAGACAAACTCAATCAATTGTCAACCAGCAAATGTTTAAATTTACCTGTGGCCTGGATCCCCCACCCGCTTCTTTGTGTTGTCCCGCGTTTCTGGACCAAACCAATGTATTTCTTAAATGTACTTGATTAATGTTTCATGCCTCCCTAAAATGTATAAAACCAAGCTGCATCCTTGGGCACATGTCCTTAGGACTTCCCGAGGCTGTGTCACGGGCATGCATCCTCAACCTGGGCGAGAGACCTGTCTGACATTTTCTGGGTTCACAAAAGCCACATCAAAGAGGTGATGAAGTAGAGATAGCTTGTGTAGAAAACTCTTTTGAGAAGTTTTTCCCTGAAGGGAGGAAGAAATTTGGTAGCTAGATGGAGATGTAAGGTCCAGGAAAGGATTTTATTTAAGCTAGGATATCCCAGAACAAATTTGCATGTAAGAAGGATCTAAAAGAGATGGGAAAATTGGTGATGCGAGCAAGGGAGGGCAGCAGGGGGAAGACTAAAGGAGAAAAGAAGGTAAGAGGGGATGGTGAGAAGGCATTGAGCTTTAAGCAAAGGATAGCTCCTTCATTTTAAGAATATGACAAAAGGAAAGCAAGTTCATTGGCTCAGAATAAGTTGGGAGAGGTGGTATTGGTGGTTTGAGGAAAGAGAAATACTTATGGACTAATCAGCTCAAAGAGTGGGAAGAGTAAACTTGGGGAAAAGTGGTAAGATTGTCAGATAATATGTTGATTTGAGGTTTGTGAACATGAATTTATTATAAAACATGGTGGGGTTATTTTTTCCTGTGATATTCAGCAAAAGTAGGGCAGGCACAGAGAAGGCAAACATAGGATGATACCATTCATAATATTTTGTAATATATTTCTCTCACTCAGTAATGTATTATGAACCTCTTTCCATGTTGAGTATAGTTTTACAGATCACCTTAAGTACTACATAGTATTCTATTATGTAAGTGTGTTACAGTACTTATCACCTACTGTTGAACAATTACATTTCTGGCTTACCTATGTTGTATACAATGTGATAAAATACCTTGTAATCAAAGCTTTATCTACAAACTTAAATGTTTCCTTAGGATAAATGTCATAGGCCGAAAGAATGAGGGTCGTGATCAACTCAGTATACCACTGGAGGCTATATGAGTGGGCAGCAAACTGTTCTCATCAATGCAGAATGTTGGTAAACTGACAAACTGCATCTGCTGCCCAGAAGGAATGCTGAGGGTAGTCACGACCCAAGCACAGTGTTTCTTGCGATTAGGTACATCTGAAGCCGGTTGGTAATAATATGAACCTGTTATCAATTAAGCAGCCAACCAATCATTACCTCCTCCTCCCTGCTCTTGCTACCCAATAAATATGAAGGGCTGTGGAAGCTCAGGGGCTGCCTATGCTCACTAGAAGCAGGGAGCTCTCTTCTTCTTCCCCTGGACCCTTCCTTTAAAACAGTTTCTTTTGTCTTAAGTTTTCATTTCTATGTTCGTCCCTTCATTCAGTCTTGTAATGATGGTCTCAAGTAGTGACAGTAGTAACTGTCATAGTGACGGTCTCAAGTAGTAACAGTGGCAGTTGGCCACAGATAAGTCTCTGTAATTGGAATCTCCGAGTCAAAGGATATATAAATTTTAAAAACTATTGTTGTATATTGCCAGATTTTTTTCAGAAAAGATTATACCAGTTGATTTACTCCTTCCCTGTGTTAAATACAGTGAGTTCTAAGTTTCTCTTCAAAGAATCAGTATGTCAGTATGTTCAGGTCCTTGTTCTCCATTTTAAAGTTTAACTTTCTCATTCTCTTCATCTCCTTGCCCCTAGTTTCAGTAAACAACCTTTCTGCCAGTTCTAATCAGTAGTTCACATCTGTTCCCCTGGTCACCTGCTCCATCCTGAATCACCCCTGGTCACCTGCTCTGACCTGAGTCTCCCTTAGTCACCTGTTCCATAACCACCTTTCCCACCAAAACTGCTCACCCCGCCTCTCTGGCTTGTACACCTGGTCTCTTTAAAATGGCCAATTGGAATTAGTTTAGACTGTGTGGTCCAACCCTAGCCAATAGGGGAACGACACAGCAGTAGGAGCAACCTGTGTCAGGGATAAGAATCCCTTCCCCTCCCTTGTTCAGGTGTGTTCTCGCCATTGCTCCATCTGTGAGACACACCCTTCTATAGAAGTAAAATTGCCTTGCTGAGAAAATTTATGTTTGAGTGCTATTTCTTTTGTGGCACCGAAAATTTATTTCCAACACCTGGACATCAAGTGATGAAAATAACTTTTTCATACTCTAGTCAGTGCTGCTATTTTCATTCTATCTTATCTGTGGATGTTTCATAGGCAATAAATTATAACTAACTCATTTTCACTTGCATTTATTAATTACGAATGAACTTAAACCTTTGTAAAAGTGTTTTTGTTTTAAAATTATTTTTATTGCTGTTTGTTTTTAATTATTTTGTGAATGACTTGTTCTGCTTTGTTTTGTTTTTCTATTGGTATTATATTGGTCACTAATTTTTTACTGAGATATATTTGACATCTCTTAAATTGCTATCCATTTTCTTACTGTTTTTATTCTACAAATAAATATTATAAATATTTATAAGACATAGTTTATCAACTTAACAAAATGATTTGAGATGCCCTATAGTATTAAAACATAAGGTAGGATAGATTAAAAATAGATTGGAAAGGAAATTAGAAATTAAGAAGAGAAACTATTTGAGGAATCCAGGATAAAATATTTATTTTTTATGAGTGCTAAATTTATCTCTGTGCTTCATAGCAGCCAATAGAAAAGAGAAGTACATATTTTTGTTTTTTTTGGTTTTAATTATCATTATCTGACAGAATGTGTTTATCTTGAGAGGCAAAATTTTCCCCAACAGTGGAATCTGGGAGTTTATTTCATGGTCTCTTGTACAGAAAACAGTAACAATGGATGCATAATAAGTACTCACAATATTAACTATTATATTATCTAAATGACAGTTTGCAAGAATACTTTTTGAAAATGAAGTATGCAAGTTCATACTTGACAGCTAGGTCGGTACTTCAAAGGCCTGTTTTGCTTTCAGGTTCTGGGTGGTGTTTCAAGTAGTTGAGGTTGCCTGAAACCTGGCCTCCATATTACTGGGATATTTCTATTCTTGAATTTTTCTAGGTATGTACTTTGTGGATAGAAGTAGTTCTATATTTGGATAAAGTATTTAAGATAAATAAACTATTAAAAGGTGATTTCTGTTATCTTCCCTAAGAAAAAGAAATGAATTTCATGCAATTCTTAGCATGTTATATGAAATTCATTTCCAAGTTGGCTGATGAAAAATAATCTTCCCATTTCATACTGTCAGACCAAAGCTTTTAAGTAGGAAAATGTACTTTAGAGTCAAGACAGTATAAGTATGTGATGGCCAGATATTCACAATAAAAATTTTTAATAATATTGGATATTCAGGAAGAACTACGAATCTAACCCATCTTTTGGTCTTCAGTTTACTATGATTTTTGAGGAAACAGAGAATACTTATACTTCCTGGTACCTTCCTAGCTAAGAATGTGTTTATTTTTTTCTACACGTGTAGTTTCTGCCAGCTATTGTCTTTCTAACCTTTTAGGAACAGTAAGATGCTGACATCGGAGTTTGAGCTCACAGTGAGCTGTTTTGTGCCACTGCACTACAACTTGGGCAACAGAGCACGACTCTGTCTCTTGATAAAAAAGACACCAAATGCAGTAGTGCTGTTTGTGAACATAGATTTGAGTGACACAAGAGTAACAGATAATCACTTGTTTCTAGAGTTAGAAGCCAAAATGCCTGTTTTTCCTACCAAGTGCTAAACCCTGAAGTATTCTCATCTGTGATGTAAACTTTGGTCACATTGTGTCCAAAATTGGTGGGTTCTTGGTCTCACTGACTTCAAGAATGAAGCTGCAGACCCTCCTGGTGTTACAGTTCTTAAAGATGGTGTGTCCGGAGTTTCTTCCTTCTGGTGGGTTCGTGGTCTCGCTAGCTTCAGGATTGAAACTGCAGACCTTCACGGTGAGTGTTACAGCTCTTAAAGGTGGCACGTCTGGAGTTGTTCATTCCTTCCAGTGGTTTCCTGGTCTGCAGCTTCACTCCAGTTCATAAAGGTGGTGGGCATCCGGAGTTGTTCATTTCTCTGGTCCGGAGTTGCTTGTCCCTCCCAGTGGGTTTGTGGTCTCGCTGGCCTCAGGAGTGAGGCTGCAGACCTTCGCTGTGAGTGTTACAGCTCATAAAGGCCGCACAGACCCAAAGAGCTAGGAGCAGCAAGATTTACTGTGATGAGCATGAAAGCGGTCCCGAACAGGTTGCCCCTGCTGGCTGGGGCAGTCTGCTTTTATTCCCTTATCTGGCCCCACCCACATCCTACTGATTGGTCCATTTTACAGAGAGCTGATTGGTCCTTTTTGACAGAGTGCTGATTGGTGTGTTTACAAACCTTTAGCTAGACACAGAGTGCTGATTGGTGCATTTACAAACCTTTAGCTAGACACAGAGTGCTGATTGGTGCCTTTACAATCCTTTAGCTAGACAGAAAAGTTCTCAAGTCCCCACCAGTCCCAGAAGCCCAGCTGACTTCACCTCTCACTGGCAGTCACTGTGCTGCGGGAGTTTCTGGCACCCAGCAGGGACACTCCGGCAGCCCAGAGGGAGCTCATCCCGGATCAAGCCCAGCAGGCACTGGCTGGTGGCGCCAAGTGCGGGGCCCACGGAGCCCGTGCCCACCCAGAACCCATGCCAGCTCACGAGCTCCACACCCTGCCCTGGCTCCCTGCGGTGCCTCTCCCTCCACACCTCCCCGTGAGCAGAGGGAGCCGGCTCCGGCCTCGGCCAGCCCCAGAGAGGGGCCCTCACAGTTCAGTGGCGGGCTGAAGGGCTCCTCAAGCCTGGCCAGAGCGGACACCTAGGCCGAGGAGGCACCAAGAGTGAGCAAGGGCCGCTAGCACGTTGTCACCTCTCAATATTTCTGTGTGTGTAGCACTAATGTTTATTTTCATTTTATATCTTATCAGTTTAAGGGGTATTTTTCCATCATTCTCCCCACACTCATGGTTAATAACACCATTCTTATAGTAACTTAAGTAAAAAACTAAGAATTATTCCCAACCCAGTCTTTTATCTTATCCCTCATATCCAATCAGTCTCTAAGTTCTGTAAAGGCTGCCAAATTTATTAACTTATCATTTTCATTATGAGTACTTGAGTTCAGCTCTTGATATCTCTTCTGGACTATTTCAGTAACCTCCAACTGATCTCCCTGCCATTATCACTTTCTTCTACAACTCGTTCTGCAATACCACAGATAGACACCAAGGGGAGTAATAGAATGTGGACTCCTGAGAAGAAAACAGGAGCAAACCTTTTTCACTGGGAAATTACATGCACAAGCTCACAGAAGAGGTTAAGAGGTCCACAGATTCTCTAGCCAAGCTGACTGGTGAAGGTCTTTCCCTTTATGAAGCCATTCATTAAGACTGGGAGAGATGGCTATCTTTTTAAATACCCAAATCCCAATAAAAGATCACAAGGCACACAGAAAAACAAAACAGGGAAACATGGCTGAATTCAGCAAAATAAAGTTCCAGAAACTAACTCTAGAGACATGATCTAGGAATTATCTGACAGTTAGTCAAAATAACCATCTTATAGATGTTCAGTGAGCTAACAGAGAACACAGATAGGTAAGCAAACGAAATCAGGAAAACGATTCCTGAACCAAATGATAAAATGAACAAAGGGATAGAAACTACGAAAAAGAACCAAATGGAATGAACCTAAGTGTTCATCAACAGATGAATGGATAAAGGACATGTGGTACATATACACAATAGAATATTATTGAGCCATAAATAATGAAATCCTGTCCTTTGCAACAACACGGATGGAACTGGAGGATATTATATTAAGTGAAATAAGCCAGGCACAGAAAAGTTTTCACAAGTTCTCATTCAAGTGTGGTAGCTAAAAAGTAAAACAATTAAACTCATGGAGATAGAGAGTAGAATAATGGTTACCAGAGGCTGAAAAGGGTAGTGGGGAGTGGGGATGGCTAATAGGTGCTAAAATATAGTTAGATGGAATGAATAAGATACAGCATTTTATAGCACAACAGGGTAACTGTAGTCAACAATAATATATATTTTAAAACAACTAAAAGAGTAGAATTGGAATGCTCCTAACACAAATAAATGATAAATGCTTGAGATGATGGCTACCCCAGTTACCCTGATGTGTATATTACTCATTGTATGCGTATGTTAGAACATCACATATACTTCATGAACATATACACCTATTATGTACCCGTAATTACTAAAAATAAAAAGAAATCTGAAGAGCAAACTATATACACACACACACACACACACAGAGTTTAGAATACTGAAATGAATTTTTTAACAGATGAAAAACTGTTCAGAATCATGTTTTCTATATAGTATGCAAATCACTTGTGTCTCTACTGGACAGTGCTCATTTGTGTTTCTATGGACAAAAATCATTTATACTGCCATTAGTTTTCTACAACTTTTAGAGTTGTAAAATAGCCATGTCAAAGACAAAGATGCACAACTCTACAAAATCGGATCACCCGGAATTCCATTGCCAGTATTCCACTAAATGGACACCCAGTCGTTTTTGCCTATTTAACAATCTTTCATACATTCTCATGACAGTTTTTGACATATCATGTAGATAAAAATAAACAAGGAGATAAAAATTAGTAAATGTGGTTAAATATTCACATTTATACAAGAAAAGAAGTTTTCTTTTTCAGCACTATGGAAATTTTGTCTGGTACTATGTCACAAAATCTCACCTGAGTCTCAAAACAGAGATCATATAAGCTAAATGCAATGGTCACAATTGTATTTAAAAACTGGAAATTATTTAGTGTTTGTATAAAATCACAATTACTGGGACATTTTAAAAAATCCTGCAAATAAATCCTGGATCAAATAAGAAATACAAATTACAACTACAGACTATTTAAAAATATGGTCAAAGAGAGTATTACTTTTCAAAATTTATGGGTTGTAGTAAAAACTGTTGTTGAGGAACTTATAAATCCTTAAGTACCTTGGTTACTAAACAAGACTGAAAATAAATGTACTATATATTGAATTCAATAAGTTAGAACAAAACAGCAGCAGTAAAAACAAAGTAAGCAGGAAAATGTAATTAATAAAAACTGCATGTAATTACTTAGAAAACAGAAAAATTGATAAATTGTAACCTCTTGTGTTGGAAAAAACAAATATATAAATATTGGGTGTATTAGAAGCAAATAGACCTCAAAATGTTAAATGGTTCAAGGACAACAAAGTTTCTCAATTATGTAACAGTATAAGGCAGATATGCTTAGTAGACAAGTGATGATTTGTCTCTACATGATCGTTCAGGGATCCAAGCTGATAGCGACTCTTCCATCTTCAATATATGGCATCTAAAGTTACATTGATTATCTCCATCACAGTCCTCTGAAAGAAGAAATAAGCATAGAGAAGTGTGAATGAAACATTCATATGTGCCAGACCTGGAAGTGGCACACACCACTTATTAACATTTCATTGGCCAAAACTCAGTCATATGGCCACTCCAAACTGGCCACTTCAGCATGGAAGGCTGAAAAATGTAGTCTGTTTAATGAGCCCAGAAAGGTCAATATAATACAGATTATGGTGTATAGCTGTCAGTCTGTCATGTCTAGCAAGGTTGATCAAGAAAAATGAGAGGTAAGAATTACCCAAAGTCAAAATAAGGAAGTAGGTATAACCACTGAGAACTCAACAAAGTGAAAATTTTAGTAAAGAATATCACTAATGAGTCTATAAAAATAATTCTAAACTACTGATGAAAAAGAGATTATCTAAAAAAGCAGTACCAAAATTGATTCTGGGAGAAATAAAAAGCTAAGTAGATCAAGAAACATGAAAGAAATTGAATTTATGAAAAATAAGGTTTTTCCATTGAGTACGTGTGGACACAAAGGGGGGAGCAATAGACACAGGAGCTTACTTGAGGGTAGAGGGTGGGAGGAAGGTGAAGATTGATAAACTACCTATCAGGTACTATGCTCACTGCCTGGGTAACAAAATCATTTGCACACCGAACCTCAGTGACATGCAATTTACCCATGTAACAAACCTGCACATGTACCCACTAAACCTAAAATAAAAGTTGGAAGAATGAAAAAGAAAAATAAGGTTTTTCAGGCACATTATTACAGACCTTCATGGAATAGACATTTTCATGGTTCCAAAACATTTAAACTGATGGACAGCATCATATTCTTTCTATGAAGTGGATGCCAAAATGTAAAAAACTCCCAAATATTATAAAGTCACAGAATATCAGTTAGAACAGGCTGAAACCCTTTTAAAATGTTAGCAAACTAAAGAAGACATCATAACGAAGTAAAACTTATGCCAGGAATAAAATAGTGAAATAAATAATAAATAATAAAATAAAATTAATACAAAGAAATCTAAAATATAAATTATTATCTCAAATAGGTTTTAAAATATTTCCTCCATAATGGAAAGGATTATCCAAAAGTTATTTGATAAAATATATCAATTATAACTATCTTTTTAAACCACAGGAAACTATGGTAAAATAATATTTCCTTAACGTCATACAGACTATCTGTAACCAATACTCATTCTTAGAAACGAGACACAGATGACCATTACCAACATGACATGGCTCCAAAAGTCTTTTTCAATATAATAAGAGAAAAAATAAAACCTACCAAATACTGACAAGAAGAAATACAACTCATAAGAAGATTCAGTATGGTATTATAAAGGTAATTTAAAATCTATAGCTTTCTATTCCAATAAACAAAAAATAACGATTTAGAAGATATGCTGAAAAAGTAACCCCTACAGAAACAAAACAATACAATAAAAATAATCTGTGCAATACTAGGATATGTACAATACTTTAAAACCTTACTGAGGGACTTAAAAGAATACTTTCATAATTGGACAAACCTACTATGTACCTAGAAGGGGAAATGTCATAAGATTTCAATGTCATGAGGTGTTTATTTCTTCTGAATTTAGTTTTTTTGATAAGAAGTCTCACTCTTGTCGCCCAGGCTGGAGTGCAACAGCATGATCTTGGCTCACGGCAACCTCCGCCTCCCAGGTTCAAACGATTCTTCTGCCTCAGCCTCCCAAGTAGCTGAGATTACAGGTGGCTGCCACCATGCCTGGCTAATTTTTGTAGTTTTATTAGAGATGGGGTTTCACCATTTGGACCAGGCCGGTCTCGAACTCCTGATCTCAGGTGATCTGTCCGCCTCGGCCTCCTAAACTGCTGGGATTACAGGCGTGAGTCACCACGCCCGGTCCCCAATTTAGTTTTTAGGTTTAATGCAATTTCTATAGGTATCCCAATAGGATTACTTGTGGGGAGGGACCTGTTAAAATGATCCCTAAATTCATATGGAAAAGTTATGCACAAGAATAGCCAATAGCATTCTTTTTTTTTTTTTTTTTTTTTTTTGAGACGGAGTCTCGCTCTGTCGCCCAGTCTGGAGTGCAGTGGCGCGACCTCGGCTCACTGCAAGTCCGCCTCCCGGGTTCACACCATTCTCCTGCCTCAGCCTCCCGAGTAGCTGGGACTACAGGCGCCCGCCACCACGCCCGGCTAATTTTTGTATTTTTAGTAGAGACGGGGTTTCACCGTGTTAGCCAGGATGGTCTCGATCTCCTGACCTCGTGATCCGCCCGTCTCGGCCTCCCAAAGTGCTGGGATTACAGGCGTGAGCCACCGCGCCCGGCCGCCAATAGCATTCTTAAAAAAATACCAGGGAGTGATTTTCACTTTTAGATATTAAAACATTATAAAGTTACAATAATTAAAATATTTGTTAGCAGTAAAATAATAGAAACAAAAAACAGAATGGAAAAAATAAGTGCAACTATGCATAAATATTTGCTATATAAAAAAGTGTATCATTTCAAATTAGTTGGAAAAGAATGAGTTGTTTTATCAATTACAGTAAAAAACTAAATTTGATCATTACTTCATAAGCATACATCAAAATACACTACAGGTGGAAAAAATAGTTAAACATAAAAAAAGAAAGTAAAAGAGGTCGGCCACGGTGGCTCACACCTGTAATCCCAGCACTTTGGGAGGCCGAGGCGGGTGGGTCCCCTGAGGTCAGGAGTTCAAGACCAGCCTGGCCAACATGGTGAATCCCCATCTCTACTAAAAATACAAAAAATTAGCCAGGTGTGGTGGCACATGCCCATAATCCCACCTACTTGGGAGGCTGAGGCAGGGGAATCGCTTGAACCCGGGAGGTGGAGGTTGCAGTGACCTGAGATCGCGCCATTGCACTCCAGTCTGGGCAACAAGAGAGAAGCTCTGTCTCAAAAAAATAAATAAAATAAATAAATAAATAAATAAATAAATAAATAAACAAAAGAAATGGAGAAAAATATAGGAGACCCTTTATGTAGGCCCTTTTCCCTAAGCAACAAAGAAAAGGCAGAAATAGTAAGAACAATTACATATCTGATTATATAAAATTTAAAATTTCTTTAAAATACTATAATTAAAATAAAGAACTAACAATATCTTAAATAAGTTTGCAATATATATGCCAGACAAAAGGTATGGTCCTAAATATATATAAAGTGTTCTTACAAATGAATTAGATGAATACCCCAATTTTAAAAAAAGTTAAAGTCAAGAATGGGAGCAAGAAATGCAGCCGAAGAGTACATCTATTGTTTTGTTTGACCAGCACCACCTTTCTTCTGGATTTTTACATAGTCACACATCCCTAACAATTTATTCGTCCAGTTTCTACTTTCTACTTCTATGAGATCAACTTACTTCACTTCCACATGTGATTGAGAATATGTGGTATTTATCTTTCTGTGCCTGGCTTATTTCACTTAACACAATTGAACAGAAATTTATTGCTCTTAATTCTGAACGCTGGGAAGTCCAAGATTAAGGGGACAGCATCTGATGGGGACTTCTTGCTGTGTCATCCCATGGCAGAAGGTAGAAGGGCAAGGGAGAGAGAAGCTTAACTCACCATTTGTAACTAACCATCTCCTGTGATAACAGCATTGATTTATTCATGAGGGCAAAGCCCTCATGGCCTAATCACTTCTTAATGGTCTCACCTCTTCATACTGTTACAATGGCAATTAAATTTCAGTGTAAGTTGGCTGGGCGCAGTGGCTCATGCCTGTAATCCCAGCACTTTGGGAAGCCAAGGTGGGTGGATCACTGGAGATCAGGAGTTTGAGACCAGCCTGGCCAACATGGTGAACCCCATCTCTACTAAAAATACAAAAATTAGCCAGGCGTAGAGGCACACGCCTGTAATCCCAGCTACTGGGGAGGCTGAGACAGGAGAATCACTTGAATCCAGGATGTGGAGGTTGCACTGAGCCTAGATCATGCAACTTACTCTTTAATGCTTCAGAAACTAACTAAAAATACATACATAAAAATAAATACCATGTCATAAATAATATGTAATTAATGATATTTATTTCATAATATTTTTATATGCGTGGACAGAAACAGAGAGAGGAGAGAGAATGAGCATGGAAGGGACAGATAGACATAAAGTAATGTGGTAAAATTTTAACATTTGGAGGATATGGGTGAAGGGTATATATGAATTCTTTGTAATGTTCTTGTGACATTTATGTGTATCTGAAACTGTCAAAATAAAAAGCTACAAGTGAAAACTTTTTTTCACTCATAGAAGTTTAAATATGCTGGATAATTTAAAAAATAATCTCTTGTTTCTTGCTTTTTTTTTTCTTTCTTTGAGACGGAGTTTTGCTCTTGTTGCCTAGGCTGGAGTGCAATGGCGCAATCTTGGCTCACTGTAACCTCCACCTCCCAGGTTCAAGCTATTCTCCTGCCTCAGCCTCCCGAGTAGCTGGGATTACAGGCACCCACCACCACGCCTGGAAAATTTTTGTGTTTTTAGTAGAGACGGGTTTCACCATGTTGGCCAGGCTGCTCTCGAACTCCTGACCTTGT
The DNA here is from genome assembly GCF_000001405.40 of Homo sapiens. Lineage (NCBI taxonomy): Eukaryota > Metazoa > Chordata > Mammalia > Primates > Hominidae > Homo > Homo sapiens. The sequence goes on along the minus strand of NC_000024.10, from coordinate 57,044,648 downwards.
GATTCACCCACCTCAGCCTCCCAAAGTGCTGGGATTACAGGCGTGAGGCAACGCGCCCGGCCCTTTCTTGTATTTTTAAATACCTTTTGTTTCTTGAAAAACATTAAACATAGTCTAAAAATATTTGGTGTCTGATAATTCCAATATCTGAAGCCCCTTGGAGGTCTGATTCTGCTATATATTTTCAACTTTTTTTTCCCCCTGACTCAGAATCATGGTGCCTTATTTCCTTCAGCATTTTGTGAGTTTTGACTTTCAGCTCATGTTCCTTGGAACTTTGTACTTCTCCAGAAAGGATTTGCATTTGCTTCTGCTGGTCACCTGGGGGCACTACCAACCTGGGACAGCTTTAAATTTTTGGTTGAGACTTGTGGTTTGAGGGACCTCACACGTTGTGTGTATTTTGGACCACAAACCTGCAGTGAGGGCCACTTTTTGGTTAGAAATTCTTAGGGGAGACTTTTTTTCCCCACTTCTCCAGTTCCAGAGTCAAAATTAAGCATGTTTCTTTGCTATTCATTTCTGTTCCCTTTTATACTGATAGTGAAGACTTTTGAAGTTCCAGCTAAATGTAGCTGTCCTAATAGACTTGTCCTTTTGGATAGGCTATAGGATTTATAGCCTGTCTCCTGTGCCCTGTGCATTCGTCAAAACAGAAGCTCAAGGTCACTCAGGTTTGGCAGATATTTTCTGGGTAAACGTCAACTTTAGTGCTAACTTACCTTTCAAGGTCCCCACATTTAGTTTATATTTCTGTCTTTATGGATTTCTTACTTTCTCTCCAGCTTGGTGATTCATTAAAAATAAGTCTTTATATCTTAAAACACCTTTTCTTAATATCTTTGTAAAGTTATTATCATTGGGAAGGTCATTTTCTAAACATTTATTATTTTCAACCATTTTTAAATTATTTATTTCTTATTTTATTGAATTATGGTCAGAAAATATTGCTTTGAAATCTATACTTTAAAACAGTTTTGAAAGTTTACTTCATGGCTTAAAGACATGACTGATTTTTATGGTTTTCTGTGGGCATGAAGATTGCCTATCCTGTGTTTGAGAGATGTAATTTTCTATATACATCTTTTAAATCAGTTTCTTGAATGTATTAAATTCCAATTTTCTGACTTGTTTTATCCGTCCAATCCTTAAGGAGGTATATTGAAATCTACTGCTCTAATTGTGTTAGCAACATGTCCTTGCATGTATAACTACTTTTGTTTTAAATCTTTAGCTGCTATGTGTATTCATTGATCATTTTCTTAGTTTTAAAAAATCACTACATAGTGTTTTCCTTTATTCCTATTAGTGCATATTAATTTTCAGCTTGTGAAGCATTAAGATTACTACTACTGCTTTTTTTGTTTGCATTTGCTTTATATCTTTTTGCAATCTAGAAATCCTACATTATTTTGTCAGTAAGCTCACACTCCTAGGTAACTATTTCGCATCTTCTCTCTCTTCAAACTACCAGTGTCTCCTCCTATCTCAACAGATAACTATGCATGCAAGCTTGTCAAATGTCTTTAGAAGGCTTCCCTTTATCTTATTATTCTGTTAAGCTATCATGTCATTTTCATCTTCCTTTCTACAGAAAGTATTGAAAGAATTGTCTGTGCTTAGTATATCCATTCCTTTTTCCTCCATTCTCTCTTGAATACAATCACAACTTTGTACCTACCATTTCACCAAAACTTATCTTCTGAAGGTTAACAAAGACCCTCATATTATTAAATCCAGTAATGAAGATAGCCACTTTCTGCCTTTATTAACTTATTTTGACAATCAACACTATTGAGATAGAATTTACATAAAATAAAATTCATTTTAGGTATGCAGTTATGAATTTTGACATACATATCTGTAACCATCACCAGAGTCAAGAGTTACATTCCTTCTATACATTTACAGTCAATCCCACAACATCACATCCCTTGTCTGAGGCAACCATTCATCTCACTCTGTCAGTATAGTTTAGCCCTTTCTTGAATTTCACATAAACAAAGTCAGACAGGCTGGGCATGGTGGCTCACACCTGTAATCCCAGCACTTTGGGAGGCCAAGGCGGGTGGATCACGAGGTCAGGAGATCGAGACCATCCTGGCTAACACACTGTGAAACCCCGTCTCTACTAAAAATACAAAAAATTAGCCGGGTGTGGTGGCGGGAACCTGTAGTCCCAGCTACTGGGGAGGCTGAGGCAGGAGAATGGCATGAACCTGGGAGGTGGAGTTTGTAGTGAGCCGAGATTGTGCCACTGCACTCTAGCCTGGGTGACAGAGCGAGACTCCATCTCAAAAAAAAAAAGAAAAGAAAAGAAAAAAAACAAAGTCAGACAGTATGGGCACTGTTATATCTTTCTTTAACACAACATCATTATTTTGAGAAATTCACCCCTATTACACTGTGTATAAATAGCATGTGCCTTTTTATTGCTGAGTAGTACCGCATTGTATGAGTGTATCACAGTTTATTCATTCACCTGTTGGACATTTGAGCTGTTTTCTATTGGGGATTTGAGCTGTTTTCTATTGGGGGCTTAACTACTATGAAAATTCTTATAAAAGTGTTTTTTATTTGTATAAATTTACGGGATGCAAGTGTAATTTTGTTACATGGATGGATTACATTGTGGTAATTCTTTTTAATTTTAATCATTGTAATAGGTATATAGTGGTGTCTAATTGTGGTTTTAATTGGCATTTCCTTAAGAGACAAAGAAGGCCATTACATAATGGTAAAGGGATCAATTCAACAAGAAGAGCTAACTATCCTAAATATATATGCATCCAATACAGAAGCACCCAGACTCATAAAGCAAGTCCTTAGAGACCTACAAAGAGACTTAGACTCCCACACAATAATAAAAGGAGACTTTAACACCCCACTGTCAACATTACACAGATCAACGAGGCAGAAAGTTAACAAGGATATCCAGGAATTGAACTCAGCTCTGCACCAAGCGGACCTAATAGACAGCTACAGAACTCTGCACCCCAAATCAACAGAATATACATTCTTCTCAGCACCACATCGCACTTATTCCAAAATTGACCACATAGTTGGAAGTAAAGCACTCCTCAGCAAATGTAAAAGAACAGAAATTATAACAAACTCTCTCTCAGACCACATTGTAATCAAACTAGAACTCAGGATTAAGAAACTCACTCAAAACCGCTCACCTACATGGAAACTGAACAACCTGCTCCTGAATGACTACTGGGTACATAACGAAATGAAGGCAGAAATAAAGATGTTCTTTGAAACCAATGAGAACAAAGACACAACATATCAGAATCTCTGGGACACATTTAAAGCAGTGTGTAGAGGGAAATTTATAACACTAAATGCCCACAAGAGAAAGTAGAAAAGATCTAAAATTGACACCCTAACATCACAATTAAAAGAACTAGAGAAGTAAGAGCAAAAACATTCAAAAGCTAGCAGAAGGCAAGAAATAACTAAGATCACAGCAGAACTGAAGGAGATAGAGACACAAAAAAATCTTCAAAAAATCAATGAATCCAGGAGCTGGTTTTTTGAAAAGATCAACAAAATTGGTAGACTGCTAACAAGACTAATAAAGAAGAAAAGAGAGAAGAATCGAATAGACGCAATAAAAAATGATAAAAGGGGATATCACCACTGATCCCACAGAAATACAAACCATGATCAGAGAACACTATAAACACCTCTACGCAAATAAACTAGAAAATCTAGAAGAAATGGATAAATTCCTGGACACATACACCCTCCCAAGACTAAGCCAGGAGGAAGCTGAATCCCTGAATAGACCAATAACAGGCTCTGAAATTGAGGCAATAATTAATAGCCTACCAATAAAAAAAGTCCAGGACCAGATGGATTCACAGCCGAATTCTGCCAGAGGTACAAGAAGGAGCTGCTACCATTCCTTCTGAAACTATTCCGATCAATAGAAAAAGACAGAATCTTCCCTAACTCATTTTATGAGGCCAGCATCATCCTGATACCAAAGCCTGGCAGAGGCACAACAAAAAAAGAGAATTTTAGACCAATATCCTTGATGAGCATTGATGCAAAAATCCTCAATAAAATACTGGCAAACCAAATCCAGCAGCACATCAAAAAGCTTATCCACCATGATTCAAGTGGGCTTCATCCCTGGGATGCAAGGCTGGTTCAATATACGCAAATCAATAAACATAATCCATCATATAAACAGAACCAAAGACAAAAATCACATGATTATCTCAATAGATGCAGAAAAGGCCTTTGACAAAATTCAACAGCCTTCATGCTAAAAACTCTCAATAAATTAGGTATTGATGGGACGTATTTCAAAATAATAAGAGGTATTTATGACAAACCCACAGCCAATATCATACTGAATGGGCAAAAACTGGAAGCATTCCCTTTGAAAACCAGCACAAGACAGGGATGCCCTCTCTCACCACTCCTATTCAACATAGTATTGGAAGTTCTGGCCAGGGCAATCAGGCAGGAGAAAGAAGTAAATGGTATTCAAAAAGGAAAAGAGGAAGTCAAATTGTCCCTGTTTGCAGATGACATGATTATATATTTAGAAAACCCCATTGTCTCAGCCCAAAATCTCCTTAAGCTGATAAGCAACTTCAGCAAAGTCTCAGGATACAAAATCAATGTACAAAAATCACAAGCATTCTTATACACCAATAACAGACAAACAGAGAGCCAAATCATGAGTGAACTCCCATTCACAATTGCTTCAAAGAGAATAAAATACCTAGGAATCCAACTTACAAGGGACCAGAAGGACCTCTTCAAGGAGAACTACAAACCACTGCTCAATGAAATCAAAGAGGACACAAACAAATGGAAGAACATTCCATGCTCATGGATAGAAGAATCAATATCGTGAAAATGGCCATACTGCCCAAGGTAATTTATAGATTCAATGCCATCCCCATCAAGCTACCAATGACTTTCTTCACAGAATTTGAAAAAACTACTTTAAAGTTCATATGGAACCAAAAAAAGAGCCTGCATTGCCAAGACAATCCTAAGCCAAAAGAACAAAGCTGGAGGCATCACGCTACTTGACTTCAAACTATACTACAAGGCTACAGTAACCAAAACAGCATGGTACTGGTACCAAAACAGAGATATAGACCAAGGGAACAGAACAGAGGCCTCAGAAATAACACCACACATCTACAACCATCTGATCTTTGACAAACCTGAGAAAAACAAGAAATGGGGAAAGGATTCCCTATTTAATAAATGGTGCTGGGAAAACTGGCTAGCCATATGGAGAAAGCTGAAACTGGATCCCTTCCTTACACCTTATACTAAAATTAATTCAAGATGGATTAAAGACTTAAATGTTAGACCTAAAACCATAACAACCCTAGAAGAAAACCTAGGCAATACCATTCAGGACATAGGCATGGGCATGGACTTCATATCTAAAACACCAAAAGCAATGGCAACAAAAGCCAAAATTGACAAATGGGATCTAATTAACCTAAAGAGTTTCTGCACAGCAAAAGAAACTACCATCGGAGTGAACAGGCAACCTATAGAATGGGAGAAAATTTTTGCAATCTACTCATCTGACAAAGGGCTAATATCCAAAATCTACAAAGAACTCAAACAAATTTATAAGAAAAGAAACAAACAACCCCATCAACAAGTGGGTGAAGGATATGAACAGACATTTCTCAAAAGAAGACATTTATGCAGCCATCAGACACATGAAAAAATGCTGATCATCACTGGCCATCAGAGAAATGCAAATCAAAACCACAATGAGATACCATCTCACACCAGTTAGAATGGTGATCATTAAAAAGTCAGGTGCTGGAGAGGATGTGGAGAAATAGGAACGCTTTTACACTGTTGGTGGGACTGTAAACTAGTTCAACCATTGTGGAAGACAGTGTGGTGATTCCTCAAGGATCTAGAACTAGGAAATGGCCATTTGACCCAGGCCATCCCATTACTGGGGTATATACCCAAAGGATTATAAATCATGCTGCTATCAAGACACATGCACATGTATGTTTATTGTGGCACTATTCACAATAGCAAAGACTTGGAACCAACTCAAATGTCCACCAATGATAGACTGGATTCAGAAAATGTGGCACATATACACCATGGAATACTATGCAGTCATAAAAAAGGATGACTTCATGTCCTTTGTAGGGACATGAATGAAGCTGGAAACCATCATTCTCAGCAAACTATCACAAGGACAATAAACCAAACACCACATGCTGTAACTCATAAATGGGAATTGGACAATGAGAACACTTGGACACAGGAAGGGGAACATCACACACCGGGGCCTGTCGTGGGGTGAGTGGACAGGGGAGGGATAGCATTTGGAGATATACCTAATGTAAATGATGAGTTAATGGGTGCAGCACACCAACATGGCACATGAATACATATGTAACAAACCTGCACGTTGTGCACATGTACTCTGTAACTTAAAGTATCAAAAAAAATAGTGTCCACTGTGTCTCTAAGACAGTCAATATTTGCTGAATGAATAATTGAAGGAATTAATAATTGGAAAGTGTACAAACCACATAAGTTATAAAAAACAGACTGGGAGTTTAGAATAAATGCTTGACTTACCTGATTTTAGTACAAATAAATTCATAAATCAGAGCAAAATATCACAGGGGAGATAGAAATTCTGGGAATGAAATCTGGCTATGCTATAAATATAGCATAAATTATTGCTCAAACTTTTGAATGTCCCTGTTGTATTTCAAGTCTACCCAAATAAATGGATTGCAAATAAAAAAAAAAGAAAATATTTTGTCCTATTTTTCTTTTGAAAGTTTTATAGTTTTGGCTTTTATTTCTATGTCTATGATACATTTTGAGTTAATATTGGTATATTATATGAGAAAAGGGTTCATATTCATTTTTTATATGAGTATCCAATTGTGCCAGAAATATTTGTAGAAAAGATAACCTTTTCTCCGTTAAATTATATTCATACCCGTGTTGCAAGTCAATTGACCATAAAAATAAGGGTTTATTCCTGGACTCTTAATTCTGTTCCATTGATCCATTTGTCTATGTTTATGACAGTGCCTCATTGTTTTGGTTACTATAGCTTTATATAAGATTTTAAGTTGAGAAGTAAACGTACTGCATTTTGTCCTTCTTTTCCAAAACTGTTTTTGTCATTCTGGATCCTTTGCATTTTGATATCAGCTTGTCAACTTCTGAAAAATATCCTGTTGTGGTTTTGACAGAGATTACATTGAACCTATAGATCAATATGAGGAGAATTTCCATCTTAACAATATTTAGGCTTCTGGTCCATGAACACAGAGTGTCTCTCCATTTATTTAAATCTTTTAAAATTTCCCTTAGCAATGTTTTATCATTTCCATTGTACAAATCTTACACTTCTTTTGATGTTTTATTTCTAAGTATTTTAATCATTTTGATGCCACTGTAAATAAAATTGTTTTCTTAATTTCATTTTGGACATTTCTTTGTTAGTACATAGAAATACAATTGATTTTTGTATATCAATCTTATATTTGTGATCTTGTTGAATTCATTTAGTAATTCTAGTAATTTCTTTGCTCTAATCATGTATTTTCCTCTTTAAAAGAGTAATTTATTTTTGACACATAAAAATTGTTTATATTTCAAATGTACATGATATTTTAATATATAGTTACATTGTAAAGTGATTACCACAATAAATTTATCCACCATCTCATATAGTTACTATTTTTGTGTGTGTGATGAGAACATTTAGGTTCTACTCTCTTACAAATTTCAAGTATACTATACATTATTAACTATAGTGACCATGTTATACATTAAATTTTCAGAAATTATTCACCATATAACTGAAATTTTATGCCCTTTGACCAAAATCATTTCATTTTCCCCACTCTCCAGGCCCTGGCAACTATCTTTCTACTCTGTGCTTCTCTAAGTTCAATCTCTTTAGATTCCACATATAGGTGAGATCATGTAGTATTTGTATTTCCGTGTCATAAATCTAAAGAATATTTCACTTAGCACAGTGTCCTCTGAGTCCATTTATGTTGTCATGAATGGCAGGATTTCCCTCTTTTTAAAGACCAAATAAAATCACATCGTGTATATATACTATATTTCTTTATCCATTCTTCCATCATTTATTGTTTCCATATTTTGGGTATTGTGAATAATGCTACAATGAACATGGGAGTGCAACTACCATCTCTTCTGACTTCAATTTCTTTTAATTTTTTGAGGACCTCCATACTATTTTCCATAGCGGTTGCACCAATTTACATTCCCACCAATGATGTATAAGGTTTCCTTTTCTCCACATCCTTGCAAACATTTTTTACCTTTTTTTTTAAGGTGGAACTATTACTTTGTTATTGTCTTTATTTGCATTTTGTGGAAAATCCAAATGAGCGGATAGGCAACTTGATACGGCAATGATGAAAACTTGTTTGGCATTTCTTCTAGCTGACGACGTTCCAGGAGCTTGTAACGAATTATTATTTTTTAATTTAAAAAATTTTAAATTTAATTTAACTTTTAATTTTTGTGGGTACATAGTAGGTGCATATATTTATGGGGTACATGGGGTGTTTTGATATAGGCATGCAATGTGAAATATCACATGAAAAATGGGGTATTCATATTTAAGTGCTTTCTTAGTCTATTTTCTGTTGCTATAAAGGAATACCTGAGACTGTAATTTATAAAGAAAAGAGGTTTATTTGGTTCACAATTCTGCTGACTGTAAGATTGGGCGTCTGGTGAAAGCTTCAGGCTGCTTGGAAAGGTGAAGAGGGGCCAGCTTGTGCAGAGTTCGGATGATGAGAGAGGAAGCAATAGAGAGACAGCGGGGAGATGCCAGGCTCTTTTTAGCAACCAGCTCTTCCAGGAACTAATAGAATAAGAACTCATTGACCTGAGGATGGCAGCAAGCCTTTCATAAGGGACCCGCCCCCACTACTAAAACACCTACCATTATGCCCCATCTCTAACACTGGGGATCAAATTTCAACATGAGTTTTGTGGGGGAAAACATCCAAATTATAGCAGATGCTATTATAGGTGAAATTTTTTTCTTAATTTCATTTTCAGATAGTTTATTTTGATGTATAAAAATGCAACTCATTTTTATATGTTGATTTTGTAACCTGAAACTTTACTGAATTATTTATTATTCTTTTTTTTTTTTGAGACAGAGTCTCACTCTGTCGCCCACATTGGAGTGCAGTGGTGTGATCTTGGCTCACTGCAACCTCCACCTCCTGGCTTCAAGTGATTCTCCTGCCTCAGCCTCCCAAGTAGCTGGGATTACAGGCACCCACCATCACACCTGGCTAATTTTTGTATTTTTATTAGAGACGGGGTTTCACCATGTTGGCCAGGTTGGTCTCGAACTCCTGACCTCAAGTGATCCTCCCGCTTCGGCCTCCCAAAGTGCTGGGATTACAGGTGTGAGCCACCACACCCGGCCTGAATTCATTTATTATTCTAATAGTTTGTGTGTGTGTGTGTGTGTGTGTGTGTGTGTGTGTGTGTGTGTGTGTGTGTAGTCTTTAGGATTTTCTACATATAATATCATGTCATCAGCAAACAGATAATTTCATTTCTTCCTTTCTTATTTGGATTCTTTTTATTTGTTTTTATTGCCTAATTGCTCTGGTTAGGACTTTAAGTTGAATAGGATAGGTGAGAGTGGGCATCTTTGCCTGTTCTGGATCTTAAAGAAAGGCCTTGATTTTTTACTATTGAGTGTGATGTTAGTTTTGGGCTCCTCATAAATGGCCCTTATTGTGTTGAGGTTAGTTCCTTCTATTCCTAATTTGTTAAGAGTTTTTATTATAAAAGCCTATTGAATTTTGTCAAATGCTATTCATTTATTGAAATGATCATTTGACTTTTAGCCTTCATTCTGTTAATGCAGTGTATCACATTGATTGATTTGTGTATGTTAAACCATTCTCATATTCTAGGGGTAAATTCTACTTGATCCTTGTTTATGATGCTTTTAATGAGCTCTTGAATTCATTTTGCTAGTAGTTTGTTGGTGATTTTTGCATGTATGTTTATCAGGGATATTGGTCTGCAGTTTCCTTTCTTGTGTTATCTTTGGCTTTGGTATTAGGGTGATGTGGGCCTCACAGAATTAATTTGGCAGTCCTCCATATTTTTATATTTTTTGGAAGAGTTTAAGAAGGATTGGAACTAATTTTTCTTTACATGTTTGGTAGAATGTACCAGTGAAGACATCTGGTCTTGAGTGTTTCTTTGTTGGGAATTTTTGGGTTACTGCTTGAATTTCTATATTTGTTATTGGTCTGTTCAGACTTTTAATTTATTTCATATTCAGCATGGGTAGGCTGTATGAGTCTAGGAATTTATCCATTTCTTCTAGGTTGTCCAATTTGTTAAGATATACTTCTTTGTAATTGTCACTTATAATCCCTGTTTCCTGTTGCATCAGTTGTAGTATCTCCTCTTTCATTTCTGATTGTATTTATTTGAGTGTTTTTTTCTTAGTTTAGCTAAGGATTTGTTGATTTTGTTTATCTTTTTGAAAAATCAACTCAGTTTCTTTGATTTTTTCTATTGATTTCCTGTTCTCTATTTCACTTATTTCTGTTCTAATCTTTATTATTTTCTTCATTCTGCAAATTTGGGGCTTAGTTTGTTCTTTTTCTTGTTCCTTGAGGTGTAAAATTAAGTTGTTTATTTCAGATATCTCTTTTTAAATGTAAGCAGTTATCTCTATAAACTTCCCTCTTAGTAGTGCTTTTGTTGCACGCCATAGGTTTTTGGTAGGTTATGTTTCCATTTTTGTTTGTCTTGAATAAGATGTGGGTAAAATGAAACTGTTCTTTTCACTGTCTTAAATAAGTCTTTTCTATTTCTGTGCTCCATCTGGGCACTGCAACCTCTTACCTGGATTTCTGAGCTCTCTTGAAGGTACTTTAATCAGTTGATGGTTTTTAAATCCGTGTTTCTGTGGGGGTATGAGGGCTGGAACCTCCTACTCTGCCATCTTTTAAAATTTAGCCTTTGTAGTTAACTCAGTTTTTAGTTTTCACTTTCCTGAAGAATAGTGAGGCCAATAGCCTTTTAAAATAGAGATATACCTTTGTTTCAAGGTGGTTTATGTATGGTTTTGCTGGGAGAAAGTGGAATGAATGAAACCATCTTTGAGTCCCTTATTCCAGTGGTTCCCAAACCTGGCAGCATATCAGATTAATTTGTATAGTTTTATAAATGTTCAAATGCTTAGGCTCCACCTAAAAGTGACTGAATCAGAATATCCAGTACTGGATCTCAGATAATTATATCTTATAATTCAATCATATTCACACATAGCTTAATTTAGGAACCACTACTGCCCCTATCTGCATTCAGTTTATTTTTAGCAATTTTTTTTCCCAGGTGGTTTTTACACAGAGTACAATTTGAGTACCACTGATATGTTTATTATTGTTGCCTAGTGCAGGGTTACTTCGCATCTGACCCCCTTTTTAATTTTTCTGCTAATATTACCATATGCAGAGCCATGCATTCAGCTGGTGTGGACTCAAAAAATTGAGACTGTCATTCTGTTTGGCTTTGCATAATATTAATGAGCTTTAGTGCTTCCATAAACTCATGTCCTGATGTTCAATGCCAAATATAAATGCTTAGGAGATATACCTAATGTTAAATGACGAGTTAATGGGTGCAGCACACCAACATGGCACATGTATACATATGTAACAAACCTGCACGTTGTGCACATGTACCCTAGAACTTAAAGTATAATTAAAAAAAGAAAATAATAAAATAAAATAAAATCTAGATGTTTCTCAAAAAAAATTACCAATAAAGAAAAAAACTTTGCTGAGAAAAAAAAAAACAAATATAAATGCTTTTTGCCTAAACCATTGTGTGTAATTCAATGGCTACAGGCATCACTGTGGCCTGATATTCCAGATGTCAATAATGCACCTGTGGTAGACAAGTAAAAACAATGAGAAAAATGATTACTTCTCATTTTAGGAGAAAGAAATGGCTTTGGAATTGGACTTTTGAAACCACTCCCTGGGTTTCTGCACCAGCATGATACAGGATAAAACAACAATGTGGGTCAGCAATTTTTTAATGACATGCACAAATGCTATTTAGCATCATTACAAACTCACCCTAGTATTCTCTATAGAAGTGTAGAATGGGCGAGTAGTGAAATAAAATAATTTTCCATAATAAAAGTCATTCTGGAAATGGGGGATAGTTATATACTAGAGCCATGGAATCTAATCCTGACTTTGCTACTAACTTAGTGTACTGTGTTTCACTTTCCCCATTTTACAATAAAGAGAAGAGATTATGTAGTCCCTTGGAGGCTTTCTAGCTCTGAACTTACATAAAACTGTGATTATCACCACCTTTCTCCTTCTTTCAGACTGTGAGGAAAGAAAATATGTTGTATTGCTTTTACCCTTTCATCATAACAATTAGCTCTTGATTAGTGCTTTTCTGGCAACTATTGCATCTTAGTGAAGATGATTTCGTATTTCAGCAATTGCTGGATTCTTAAAAATGTGCCAGCATGGTGTATTGAAATTAGTAACGTTTCAAAAGGTATTTCAAACTAGCCTTAATTAATTAAATGCTTGATAGATGCAGTCCAAGGTTAACCACTTAATGAATTGGCAACCAAATAAAAAATGGAATCAAACACTTTAAGCAGCTTACTGGAAGGGATCTGGGCTCTCCACCAAGAGATTCTGTAGCAGTGCTGGCAGCAGGGTGGGTCATTTTCAAGCTCCTGATTCATTGTCACTATACCCTTTCACCCAAGACTGAACCCTTCCCCCCAAAATGCACAGTATTGCTTAATCTGCAGCAATGATGTTTGTGTTAGTGTCAACAGACTAAAAGAAAATTCCCACCTGAAATGTGAGTAGTTAAGATGTTAAGAATCATCTTTAATTCACTGTGTATTTGAACACAAGAATATTGTAAAGGAGGACAGTGGTGATATTTCTTAGGTATGTAGAAAAGTTCTCTGCTGTTTCTGTGAACTGGCATTTAAGTGGAGGACTAGATTAAAGAAAAAAGGATGTTGCTGAGAAAAAGAGATCATAGGCTGGGTGCGGTGGCTCACACCTGTAATCCTAGCACTTTGGGAGGCTGAGGCGGGCAGATTTGTTGAGCTCGGGAGTTTGAGACCAGCTGGGCAACATAGTGAGACTCTGTCTCTGCAGAAAATACAAAAGTTAACTGGTTATGGTGGCACGTGGCTGTAGTCCCAGCTACTCAGGAGGCTGATGTGGGAGGATCACCTGATCCTAAGGAGGTTGAGGCTGCAGTAAGCCCTGATTGCACCACTGCACTCCAGCCTGAGTGACAGAGTGAGACCCTGTGAATACAAAATCATAAAGTAAGATAATTTGATTCTATTTAGAAGACTGTAGAGAGTGTTAAGTTACTGAAGATTTGAAAGCAAGAAGTAATTAAGGGTTGGTTATATACCAAGCAAGTATGAATACATTAATTTAGGAAAACTCTATTTTCTGAGAAACTAAAGGGATAGATATTATCACTCAAGTTGTTAGGAAGCTGTACTTGTAAAAATCCTGAGCGTTATTTTAAATTAAGTTTTAAAACCAAGAAACATATTAAGCAGCAACTTTGCGCTCAATTCTGTGCTGACAGCTAATATGAGAAAGAAATGAGTTTCCTGTCTGAGAGTACTAACAAAGCGTGATATAATGGAAAGCGATACAGACAGAGTCAGAAGCCTTGAATTCCATTAGCTCACTCTGTGACCTAGGTCAAGGGACTTCTCTCTAAGCCTCACATTCCCAGACCATTGTAATAGGATTCAATGAGATAATGTATCAGAGTACTTCAAAACTTATGAAGAGCTAGTAACATGTGGGCAATGACAATATAGGTTCTAATGACTGGAGATAATAATGATGTGGTAAAAAGAGAAGAGACTCTGATAATCAAATAAACCAGGGTTTGAATCTTGCCTTTGTCACAGCTGTGTGGCTTTGGGGGTATTACTTAACCTCTCCAAGCCTTCAGTACCACGCTTAAATTCAGATAATGATAACAACAATAAATACTTACCTCATAATATTATTATCTGTCACATGGTAGATATTTGGTGTATTAGTCCATTTTCACACTGCTGATAAGGACATATCCAAGACTGAGCAATTTACGAAAGAAAGAGGTTTATTGGACTTACAGTTCCACGTGGCTTGGGAGGCTTCACAATCATGGTGGAAGGTGAAAGGCACGCCTCACATGGAAGCAGACAAGAGAACAAAGCTTGTGCGGGGGAACTCCCCTTTATAAAACCACCAGATACTGTGAGACTTCTTCACTATCATGAGAACAGCATGGGAAAGACCCATCCCCATAATTCAATTACTTCCCACTGGGTCCCTCTCACAACACATGGAAATTCAAGATGACATTTGGGTTGGGGCACAGCCAAACCATGTCATTCCACCCGTGGCCTCTCCCAAATCTCATGTCCTCACAATTCAAAACCAATCATGCCTTCCCAACAGTCCCCTAAAGTCTTAATTCATTTCAGCATTAACTCAAAAGTCTGCAGTCCAAAATCTCATTCAAGACAAGGTAAGTCCCTTCCACCTATGAGCTTGTAAAATCAAAAGCAAGTTAGTTACTTCCTAGATACAATGGGGGTACAGGCATTGTTTAAATACAGCCATTTCAAATGGGAGAAGTTGTCCAAAACAAAGGGCTATAGGCCCCATGCAAGTCTGAAATCCAGCGGGGCAGTCAAATCTTAAAGCTCCAAAGTGATCTCCTTTGACTCCGTGTCTCACATCCAGGTCATGCTGATGCAAGAGGTGGTTTCCTATGGTCTTGGGCAACTCATCCCCTGTGGCTTTGCAGGGTATAGCCTCCCTTCTGGTTGCTTTCCCAGGCTGGCATTGAGTGTCTGTGGCTTTTCCAGGTGCACGGTGCAAGCTGTCAATGGATCTACCATTCTGAGATCTGGAGGACAGTGGCCCTCTTCTCACAGCTCCACTAGGCACTGCCCTAGTAGGGACTCTGTGTGGGGGCTCTGACCCCACATTTCCCTTCTGCACTGCCCTAGCAGAGGTTCTTCATGAGGGCCCACCCCTGCAGCAAGCTTCTGCCTGGACATCCAGCCTTTTCCATACATCTTCTGAAATCTAGGCTGAGGTTCTCTAGTTACAGCTGAAGTGGCTGGGATGCAGTGCGCTAAGCCCCTAGACTGCACACAGCAGAGGGACACTGGGCCCAGCCCACAAAACAATTTTATCCTCCCAAACCTCTGGGCCTGTGATGGGAGGGGCTGCCACAAAGGTCTCTGACATGCCCTGGAGATATTTTCCCCATTGTCTTGGTGATTAATATTCAGCTCCTTGTTACTTATGCAAATTTCTGCAGCCAGCTTGAATTTCTCCTTAAAAAATGGGATTTTCTTTTCTATTGCACTGTCAGGCTGCAAATTTTCCAAACTTTTATGCTCTGTTTCCCTTTTAAAACTGAATGCCTTTAACAACACCCAAGTCATCTCTTGAATGCTTTGCTGCTTAGAAATTTCTTCTACCAGATACCCTAACTCATCTCTCTCAAGTTCAAAGTTCCACAAATCTCTAGGGCAGGAGCAAAATGCTGCCAGTATCTTTGCTAAAACATAGCAAGAGTAACCCTCACTCCAGTTCCCAACAAGTTCCTCATCTCCATCTGAGATCACCTCAGCCTGGATTTCATTGTCCATATCACTATCAGCATTTTTGTCAAAGCCATTCAACAAGTCTCTAGGAAGTTCCAAACTTTCCCACATTTTCCTGTCTTCTTCTGAGCCCTCCAAACTGTTCCAACCTCTGCCTGTTATCAAGTTCCAAAGTCATTTCCACATTTTCGGGTATCTTTTCAGCAGCACTGCACTCTACTGGTACCAATTTACTGTATTAGTCCGTTTTCATGCTGCTGATAAAGGCATACCCAAGATTGTGCAATTTACAAAAGAAAGAGTTTTATTGGACTTACAGTTCCACATGGCTGAGGAGGCCTCACAATCATGGTGGAAGGTGAAAGGTACATCTCACATGGTGGCAGACAAGAGAAGAGAGCTTGTGCAGGGGAACTCCCCTTTTTAAAACCATCAGATCTTGTGAGACTTATTCACTATCATGAGAAGAGCCTGAGAAAGACTTGCCCCCATGATTCAGTGATCTCCCACTGGGTCCCTCCGACAACACATGGAAATTCAAGATGAGATTTGGGTGGGGACAGAGCCAAACCTATCATTTGGTAATGGTAGCCTTTATTACAAAATAAATACACTTCAGTAGGCAACTATGTTATAAACTATAAAGGTAATGAGAGCTCAAAAAACCCATCTCAAAATATATGGTGAACAAAACTACCATGATAACAGAGGCAACTGAGAATGTCCCTGTTTAGGAACTTTATATGACGAAAATAGGCTTTTGAGGCAGGAGAATCACTTGAACCTAGGAGGCAGATGTTGCAGTGAGCCAAGGTTATGCCACTGCACTCCCGCCTGGGTGACAGAGTGAGACTTCATCTAAAAAAAAAAAAAGGGAACTATTACATGCTTTAAGAAATGATATGAGCACTGGTGATAGATATGAGTTGTTGAGGAAGTAAAATCTATAAGAATTGATGACTCATTGTGGAGTCACAACATGGCAAATGAGGGAGGATAACTCCCAAGTTTCTAGATTGGGTGATCGCAAGGATTATGGTGTCGTGTAGTCATTCAACACAAATTTATTGAGTGCCTACTATGTGCCAGGTTCTGGAAATAGGATAGTAAGCCAAACAGACATAGTTTACATTTAGTGGACAAGTCTAGTGGGGGAAACAGAATATAAATAAAATCAATAAATATAGTTCTAAACTGTGATAAGTATTAGGAAAGAAAAGTATAGAGTACTAGGTTAAACTATGCCAACGGAGACATAATAGTGCATACAAAAGGATGACAAGGGGCCAGCCATGGTGGCTCAGGCCTGTAATCCCAGCACTTTGGGAGGCCAAGGCGGGTGGATCACCTGAGGTCGGGAGTTCAAAACAAGCCTGACCAACATGGAGAAACCCCATCTCTACTAAAAATACAAAATTAGCCAGGCGTGGTGGCGCATGCCTGTAATCCCAGCTACTCAGGAGGCCGAGGCAGGAGAATTGCTTGAACCTGGGAGGCATAGGTTGCAGTGAGCCAAGATCGTGCCATTGCACTCCAGCCTGGGCAACAAGAGCAAAACTCCATCTCAAAAAATAAAAAAGAATGACAAGGTTTTGAATGAAAAACAAAATGCTGACTTCATTTTTTTTAATTTTAATTTTTTGGTATTATTTTAAATTGACTTGTAATAATTGTACATATTTATGGGGTATATAGTGATGTTTCAATACATATACTGTATAGTGATCAGATCAGGATCTGATCAGTATATAGCATATCTATCACCTCAAACATTTATTATTTGTTTGTGTTGGAAGCATTCAATTTCCTCCTTCTAACTATTTGAAACTATACATCATTGTTAACTACAGTCATCTTACAGTGCTGTAGAAAGAACACTAGAACTTATTCCTCCTATCTAGCTGTAATTTTGTAACCTTTAACAAATCTCTGCCTATTCCCCCTTTTCCCCAACCCTTCTCAGCATCTAGTAGTCTCTGTTCTACTTTTTACTTCTGTGAGCTCAACTTTTCTTAGCTTCCACATACGAGTGAGAATATGCGATGTTTTACTTTGTGTTTCTGGCTTACTTTACTTAACAGAATGTCCTCCAGTTCCCTCCACGTTGCTGCAAATGACAGGATTTCATTCTTTTTATAACTGAATAGTATTCCATGATGTATACCACATTTGCTTTATCCATTCATCTGTTGTTGGACACATATTGATTCCATATCTTGGCTATTGTGAATAGTGCTGCAATAAATATGGAGGTGCAGGTGTCTCTTTGATATACTGCTTTCCTTTCCTTTGGATAAATTCCCAGTAGTGGGGTTGCTAGATCATATGGTAGTTCTATTTTTAGTTTTTTGGGGAACCTCCATACTATTCTCCATAGTGGCTATACTAATTTACATTTCCACTAATAGTGTATAAAAGATTCCCTTACTCTGCATCCTTGCCAGCATTTGTTATTTTTGTCTTTTTGATAATGGTCATCCTAAAGAGGGTGAGACACTACCTTATTATGGTTTTGTTTGAATTTTCCTGATGATGAGTGAGGTCGAACGTTTTTTCATTTATTTATCGGCCATTTGTGTGTCTTCTTTTGAGAAATGTCTGCTCAGATCATTTGCCCATTTTAAAATCAGATTGTTCATATTTTTGCTGTTGAGATGTTTGCATTCCTTGTATGGGCTCGATATTAATATCCTATCTGATGAATAGTCTATGAATATTTTCTGCTGTTCTGTAGGTTGTCTTTTCACTCTCTTGTTTCTTTTGCTGTGCAGAGATTTTAGTTTGATATAATCCCATTGGTTCATATTTGCTTTTGTTGCCTATGCTTTTTAGGTCTTATACATAAAGTCATTTTCCAGACTAATGTCCTGAAGCATTTCTCCTATTTTTTTTTCTAGTAGCTTACAGTGTCAAGTCTTACATTTAGGTCTTTGATCCATTTTGAGTTGATTTTTGTATAGGGTAAGAGGTGGAAGTCTAGTTTCATTCTTCTGCATGTGGATATTTAGTTTTCCCAGTGTCATTTATTAAAGAGACTCTCCTTTCATCACTGAGTGTTCTTAACGACTTTGTAAAAATCAATTGGCTGAAGATATGTGAATAAATTTCTGGTTTCTTTATTCTGTTTTGTTTGTCTGTTTGTGTGGTTTTATGCCAGTACCATGCTGTTTTTGGTTACTATAGCTTTGTAGTATATTTGGAAGTCTGGTAGTGTAGTGCCTTCAGTTTTGTTCTTTAAGTTCAGGATTGCTTTGGCTATTTGGGGTTCTTTTGTGGCTCCATACAAATTTAAAATATTTTTTCCTATTCTGTGAAGAATGTCATTGGCATTTTGATAGGGATTGCCTTGAATCTGTAGATTGCTTTGGGTATTATGGTCATTTTAGCAATATTAATTATTTCAATCCATTAGCATGGGATGTCTTTCCATTTGCTTGTATTCTCTTCAACTCCTTTCAACAGTGTTTCATAGTTTTCCTTGTAGAGGTTTCTCACCACCCTGGTTAAATTTATTCTTAGGTATTTTATTTTTTGGCATCTATTGTAAATGGGATTGCCTTTTGATTTCTCTCTCTCTCTCTTTTTTTTTTTGAGACAGAATCTTGCTCTGTTGCCCAGGCTACAGTGCAGTGGTGCAATCTTGGCTCACTGCAACTTCCACCTCCTGGGTTCAAGCAATTCTCCTATCTCAGCCTCCCGAGTAGATGGCATTACAGGTGCATGCCACCACACCTGGCTAATTTTTGTATTTTAGTTTCACCATGTTGGCCAGGCTGGTTTTGAACTCCTGACCTTGTGATCCGACTGCCTTGGCCTCCCAAAGTGCTGGGATTACAGGCATGTGCCACGGTGCCCGGCCTTGATTTCTTTTCTTTTCAGGATCCAATATCTCTGTCTCATTAAAAAAATTTCAACTTTTGGCCGGGCGCGGTGGCTCACGCCTGTAATCCCAGCACTTTGGGAGGCCGAAGCGGGCAGATCACAAGGTCAGGAGATCGAGACCATCCCGGCTAAAACGGTGAAACCCCGTCTCTACTAAAAATACAAAAAATTAGCCGGGCGTAGTGGCGGGCGCCTGTAGTCCCAGCTACTCGGGAGGCTGAGGCAGGAGAATGGCGTGAACCCGGGAGGCGGAGCTTGCAGTGAGCCGAGATCCCGCCACTGCACTCCAGCCTGGGCGACAGAGCGAGACTCCGTCTCAAAAAAAAAAAAAAAAAAAAAAATTTCAACTTTTATTTTAGATATAGAGGGTACATGTGCAGGTTTGTTACATGGGTATATTATAGTGAGTCTAGTGCCCATTAGGAAGTTTTTCAATCCACTCTCCCTCACCCCCTCCCACCTCTAGTAGTCCACAGGGTCTATTGTTCCCATTTTTATATCTATGTGTGCTCAATCTTTAGCTCTTACTTGCGAGAACATGTGGTATTTGGTTTTCTGTTCCTGTGTTAATTCTCTTGGGATTATGGCATCCAGTTCCATCCATGTTGCTGCAAAGGACATGATTTCATTCTTTTTATGGCTGCATAGTATTCCATGGTGTATTTGTACCACATTTTCTTTATCAAATATACCATTTATGGGCACATAGGTGATTCCATGTCTTTTCTATTTTTTTTTTTTTTGAGACGGAGTCTCGCTCTGTTGCCCAGGCTGGAGTGCAGTGGCATGATCTTGGCTCACTACAACATCCACCTCCTCAGTTCAAGTGATTCTCCTGCCTCAGTCTCCCCAGTAGCTGGAATTACAGGTGTCCACCACCATCTCCGGCTAATTTTTGTATTTTTAGTAGAGATGAGATTTCGCCACGTTGGCCAGGCTTGTCTCAAACTCCTGACCTCAGGCAATCCGCCCGCCTTGGCCTCCCAAAGTGCTGGGATTACAGGCGTGATCCATAGTGCTCAGCCTGCAATTTTGAATATAGTACTGCAATGAACATATGGGTGCATGTGTCTTTTTGGTAGAATGATTTATTTCCCTTTGGATATACACCCAGTATCGGGATTGCTGGGTCAAATGATAGTTTAATTCTTAGTTCTTTGAGAAATCTCCAAACTGCTCTCTACAGTGGCTGAATTAATTTTCATTTCCACCAACAGTATATTAGTGTTCCCTTTTCTCTGCAGCCTCACTAGCATCTGTTGCTTTTCAACTTTTTCTAATAGTCATTCTGACTTGTGTGAGATGCTATATTGTTGTGGTTTTGCTTTGCATTTCTCTAATAATCAGTGATATTGAGCTTTTTCCCTATGCTTATTGGCTGTATGTATGTGTTCTTTTGAGAATTGTCTGTTCATGTCCTTTGCCCATTTTTTCCATCAACTTTTATTTTAAGTTCCAGGGTACATGTGCAGGATGTGCAGGTTTGTTACATAGGTAAATGTGTGCCATGGTGGTTTGCTGCACAAATCAACCCATCACCTAGGTATTAAGCCCAGCATCCATTAGCTATTCTTCCTGATGCACTCCAACCCTCCACCCTCCAAAAGGCCCCAATGTGTGTTGTTCCCCTTTATGTGTCCATGTGTTCTCACCATTTAGCTCACACTTATAAACAAGAACTTCTGGTATTTTGTTTTCTGTTCCTGCATTAGTTTGCTGAGGATAATGGCTTCCAGTCCATCCATGTCCCTGCAAAGGACATGCTCTTTTTTACTTTTTATGGCTGCATAGTATTCCATGGTATATATGTACCACATTTTCTTTATCCAGTCTATCATTGATAGGCATTTAGGTTGACTCCATATCTTTGCTATTGTGAATAGCGCTTCAATCAACATACGCATACAGTTATCTTTATAATGGAATGATTTATATTCCTTTGGGTATATACTCAGTAATGGGATTGCTGGGTCAAATGGTGTTTCTGTCTTTATCTCTTTGAGGAATCACTACGTTATCTTCCACAATGGTTGAACTAATTTACATTCCCGCCAACAGTGTAAAACTGTTCCTTTTCCTTCACAACCTTGCCAGCATCTGTTGTTTCTTGACTTTTTAATAATTGCCATTCTGATTGGTGTGATACGGTATCTCATTGTGATTTTGATTACACCTTATACAAAAATTAACTCAAGATGGATTAAAGACTTAAGTGTAAAGCCTCAAACTGTAAAAACCCTAGAAGAAAATCTAGGCAGTACCACTCAGGACATAGGCACGAGCAAAGATTTCATGATGAAACCACCAAAAGCAATTGCAGCAAAAGCAAAAACTGACAAATGAGATCTAATTAAACTGAAGAGCATTTGCACAGCAGAAGAAACTATAATCAAAGTGAACAGAAAACCTACAGAATGGGAGAAAATTTTTGCAATCCAGTTATCTGACAAAGGTCTAATATCTAGAGTCTACAAGGCACTTAAACAAATTTACAAGAAAAACAAACAACCCCATGAAAAAGTGGGCAAAGGACATGAACAGACACGTTCCAAAAGAAGACATTCATGCAGCCAACAAATATATGAGAAAAGCTCAATATCACTGATTATTAGAGAAATGCTCATTAAAAATGGATGTTTTGCTGTGATTGTTCAATTCCTGTATATTCTGGATATTAGACCTTTTTTGGATATATAGTCTGTGAATATTTTCTCCCATTCTGTAGATTGTCTGTTTACTCTGTTGATGATTTCTTTTGCTGTGCAGAATCTGTTTATTAATTAGGTCCCATTTTTCAATTTTTTGTTTTTGTTGCAATTGCTTTTGGGCACTTAGCCATTGTATTAGTCTGTTCTCATGCTGCTGATAAAGACATACCTAAGACTGGGTAATTTATAAATGAAAGAGGTTTAATTGACTCATAGTCCCACATGGCTGGGGAGGCCTCACAATCATGGTGGAAGGTGAATGAGGAGCAAAGTCACATCTTACATAGTAGCAGGCAAGAGAGCTTGTGCAAGGGAACTCCCAATTATAAAACCATCAGATCTCCTGAGACTTATTCACTATCATGAGAACAGTATTGGGGAAACTGCACCCATGATTCAATTATCTCCACCTGGCCCCACCCTTGACACATGGGGGTTATTACAAATCAAGGTGAGATTTGGGTGGGGACACAGCCAAACCATATCATTCCACTCCTGGTCCCTCCAAAACCTCATATCTTCACAATTCGAAACCAATCATGCTTTCCCAACAGCCCTCAAAGTCTTAACTCATTTCAGCATCAACTCAAAAGTCCACAGTCCAAAGTCTCATTTGAGACAAGTCAAGTCCCTTCCACCTATGAGCCTATAAAATCAAAAGCAAGTTAGTTACATCCTGGATATAATGGAGGTATGGGCATTGTGTAAATACCCATTCCAAATGGGAGAAATTGGCCAGAACGAAGGGGCTACAGGCCCCATGCAAGTCCAAAATCCAATGGGGAAGTCAAATCTCAGAGCCCTGAAATGATCACTCTTGACTCCATGTCTCACATCCAGGTCATGCTGATGCAAGAGATGGGCTCCCACAGCCTTGGGCAGTTCTGCCCCTGTGGCTTTGCAGGGTACAGCCTCCCTCCCAGCTGCTTTCATGGACTCGCATTGAGTGTCTGCAGCTTTTCCAGGCACCTGGTGCAAGCTGTCGGTGAATCTACCATTCTGGGGTCTGGAGGATGGTGGCCCTCTTCTCACAGTTCTACTAGGCAGTGCCCCAGTGGAAACTCTGTGTTGGGGGCTCCACCCCTACATTTCCCTCCCACACTGCCCTAACAGAGGTTCTCTATGAGGGCTCTGTCCCTCCAGCAGACTTCTGCTTGGACTTCCAGATGTTTCCATACATCCTCTAAAATCTAGGTAGGGGTTCCCAAACCTCTATACTTGACTTTTGTTCACCCACAGGCCCAACACCACATGGAAGCCACCAAGACTTGGGGCTTGCATCCTCTGAAGCAATGGCCTAAGCTCTACATTGGCCCCTTTTAGCCATGGCTGGGATGCAGGGCACCAAGTCCCGAGACTGCACAAAGCAGCAAGGCCCTGGGCCCTGCCCATTAAATCATTTTTTCTCCTAGGTCTCCAGGCCTGTGATGGGAGGGACTGCTGTGAAGACCTCCGATATGCCCTGGAGACATTTTCCCCACTGTGTTGGTGATTAACATTTGGCTCCTTGTTATGTATGCAAATTTCTGCAGCTGGCTTGAATTTCTCCTCAGAAAATGTGTTTTTCTTTTCTATCGGATCTTCTAGCTGCAAATTTTCCAAACTTTTATGCTCTGCTTCCCCTTTAAACCTATGTTCCTATTCCAAACCGTATCTTTGTGAATGCATAAAACTGAATGCTTTTAACAGCACCCAAGTCACCTCTTGAATGCTTTGCTGCTTAGAAATTTCTTCCACCAGATACCCTAAATCATCTCATTCAGGTTGAAAGTTCCACAGATCTCTAGGGCAGGGACAAAGTGCCGCCAAGCTCTTTGCTAAAACATAGCAAGAATCACCTTTGCTCCAGTTCCCAATGAGTTCCTCGTCTCCATCTGAGACCACCTCAGCCTGGGCTTTATTGTCCATATCACTATCAGCATTTTGGTCAGAGCCATTCAACAAGTCTCTAGGAAGTTGCAAACTTTCCTACATCTTTCTGCCTTCTTCTGAGCCCTCCCAGTCTCTAGGAAGTTATAAACTTGCCCACATTTTTCTACCTTATTCTGAGCCTTCCAAACTGTTCCAATCTCTGCCTGTCACCTGGTTCCAAAGTCACTTTCACGTTTTCATGTATCTTTACAGCTGCATTCCACTCTACCAGTACCAATTTACTGTATCAGTCTATTCTCATGCTAATAAAGACATACCTGAGACTAGGTAATTTATAAAGGAAATAGGTTTAATTTACTCACAATTCTACATGGCTAGGGAGGCCTCACAATCATGGCAGAAGGTGAATGAAGAGCAAAGTCACATCTTACATGGCGGCAGGCAAGATAGCTTGTGCAGGGGAATTCCCATTTATAAAAGCATCAGATCTTGTGAGACTTATTCACTACCACAAGGACAGTATAGAGGAAACTTCCCCATGATTCAATTATTTCCACCTGGCCCTGCCTTTGACATGTGGGGATTATTATAATTCAAGGTGAGATTTGGGTGGGGACATGGCTGAACCATATCAGCCATAAATTCTTTGCCAAGGCAGATGTTGAGAAGGGTATTTCCTAGGTTTTCTAGGATTTTTATACTTTGAGGTCTTACATTTAAATCTTTAATCCCTTGAGTTATTTTTTGAATATGATGAAAAGTAAGGGTATAGTTTTCATTCTTCTGTAGATGGATAGCCTGTTATCCCAGCACCATTTATTTAATAGGGAGCCCTTTCTCCATTGCTTATTTTTGTTGGCCTTTTTGAAGATCTGGTGGTTGTAGGTGTGTGGCTTTATTTATGAGTTTTCTGTTCTGCTCCATTGTTTTATGTGTCTGTTTTTGAGCCAGTACCATGGTGTTTTGGTTACTGTAGCCCTGTAGCATAAAGTTGGGTAGTGTGCTGTTCTTTTTGCTTCAGATTGCTTTGGCTATCCATGCTCTTTTTTAGTTCCATATAAATTTTAGAATAGTTTTTTCCCCTAATTCTGTGAATAATGATGTCAATAGTTTGATAGGAATAGTGTTGAATCTGTAAATTGCTTTGGGCAGTATGGTCATTTTAACAATATTGATTCTTCCAATCCATGAGCATGGAATGTTTTTACACTTATTTGTGTCATTTCTGATTTATTTCGGCAGTGGTTTGTAGTTCTCCTTGTAAAGATCTTTCACCTCCTTGGTTAGCTGTATTCCTTGGTATTTCATTTTATTTGTGGGTGTTGTAAATGGGATTGTGCTTTTGGTTTTACTGTCAGCCTGGGCGTTATTGGTTTATAGAAATGCTACTGAGTTTGCACATTTATTTTGTATTCTGAAACCTTGCTAAAATCATGTATCAGTTCTAGTAGCTTTTTGGCAAAGTCTTTACGGTTTTCTAAGTATAGAATCATATTGTCAGTGAAGAGAGATAATTTGACTCCTTTTCTTATTTGGATGCCTTTGATTTCTTTCTCTTGCCTAATTGCTCTGGCTAAGATTTTCAGAACTATGTTGAATAGAAGTGGTGAGAGTGGACATCCTTGTCTTGTTCCACTTCTCAAGGGGAATAGTTCCTGCTTTTGACTGTTTAGCATGATATTGGCTGTGGGTTTGTCATATATGGCTCTTATTAATTTGAAGTATGTTTTTTAAATGCCTAGCCTGTTGAGGTTTTTTTTTTCTTAAATCATGAAGGGATGTTGGATTTTATCAAAAACTTTCTGTGTCTATTGAGATGATCATATGGCTTTGGCTTTTAACTCTATTTACATAGTGAATCACATTTATTGATTTGCATATGTTGAGCCAACCTTGCATCCCAGGAACAAAGCCTAATCAATCATGATGAATTAACTTTTTGATGTGCTGCTGAATTTGGTTTGCTAGTGCTTTGTTGAAGATTTTTGCATCTGTTTTCATCAGGGATGTTGGCCTGAAGATTTCTTTCTTCAACATGTCTGCCAGATTTTGGTATTAGGCTGATGCTGACCTCGTAGAGTGAGTTAGGGAGATATCTCTCTTCCTCTATTTTTTTGGAACAGTTTCAGTAGTATTGATACCAGTTCTTCTTTACATATCTGGTAGAATTTGGCTGTGAATCCATTTGGTCCAGGGCTTTTATTGGTTGATAGGTTTTTATTACTGATTCAATTTCCAAGTTTGATATTGGTCTATTCAGGGTTTTAATAACTTCCTAATTCAACCTTGGAAGACTGTGTGTTTCCAGGAATTTATCCATTTCCTCTAGATTTTCTAATTTGAGTACATAGAGTTGTTCATAGTATTCTCTGAGGATCTTGTGTATTTCTGTGAGATCAGATGTAACGTCATCTTTGTCATTTCTGATTGTATTTATGTGAATTTTCTTTTTTCTTTATTAATCTAGCTAGCAATCTATCAATCTTATTTATTGTTTCGAGCCAATTATTTGTTTTATTGATTTTTTGTATGGATTTTTGCATCTCAGTTTAAGTTCTCTAATTTATTTCTTTTCTTCTGCTAGCTTTGGGGTTTATTTGTTCTTTTTTTGTCTTAGTTTCTTTAGGTATCAAATTAGATTGTTAATTTGAGATCTGACATAGTTTGAACATGTGTCCTCACCAAATCTCATGTTGAATTGTAATTTCCAATGTTGGAGTTGGGGCATGGTGGGAGGTGTTTGGGTAATGGGGATGGATCTCTCATGGCTTGGGGCTGTCCTCACAATAGTGAATGAATTCTCATGAGATGTAGCACCTCCTCACTCACTCCATCTCTTGCTTCTACTCCCACCATGTGACTTGCCTGCTCCCCCTTTCCCTTCCACCATGATTGGAAGTTTCCTGAGGCTTCCCCAGAAGCAGATTCCAGTTCTATACTTCTTATACAGCCTGCAAAACTGTGAGCTACTTAGACCTGTTTTCTTATAAATTACCCAGTCTCGGGTATTCCTTTATAGCAATGCAAGAACAGCCTAACACAAGATCATTCTAACTCCTTCTCCTTCTCCTCCTCCTCCTCCTCCTCCTCCTCCTTCTTCTCCTTCTTCTTTTTTTTTTTTTTTTTTTTTTGAGATGGAGTCTGGCTCTGTTGCCCAGGCTAGAGGGCAGTGGCACCATCTCTGCTCACTGCTACCTCCACCCACTGGATTCAAGCAATTCTCCTGCCTCAGCCTGCCTGGTAGTTGGGATTACAGGCGTGCGCTACCACGCATGGCTAATTTTTGTATTTTTAGCAGAGACTGGGTTTCAACATGTTGGTCAGGCTGGTCTCCAACTCCTGACCTCAAGTGATCCGCCCACTCGGCCTCCCAAAGTGCTGGGATTACAGGCGTGAGCCACCACACCTGGCCCATCCTAACTTCTTGATGAAGGCGTTTAGGGCTATAACATTTTCTCTTAACATAGCTTTAGCCGCATGCCAGAGATTTTGGTAAGTTATGTCCCTATTTTCATTAATTTCAAAGAATTTTTTGCCTTAATTTTGATGTTCACTCAGGAGCCATTCAGGAGCAAGTTGTTTAATTTTCATGCATTTGTGTAGTTTTTAGAGATCTGCTTTATATTGATTTCTATTTTTATTGCACTGTGGTCTGAGAGTGTGCTTGGTACAATTTTATTTTTTTTAATTTATTGAGACTTGCTTTATGACTGAACATGTGGTTGATCTTAGAATACGTTCTGTGTGCAGATGAGAAGAATGTATATTCTGTGGTTATTGGGTGGAGTGTTCTGTAGATATCTATTAGTCCCAATTAGTCAAGGGTTGAGTTTAAGTCCAGTTTCTTTGTTAGTTTTCTGCATTGGTGATCTGTCTAACACTGTCAGGGGGGTGTTGAACCCACTATGATTGTGTGGTTGTCTAAGTCTTTTCATAGGCCAAGAAGAACTTGTTTTATGAATATGGGTGCTCAATGCTGGGTGCATATATATTTAGAATAGTTAAATCTTCTTCTTGTATTGCATCCTTTATTATTATGTAATACTGTGTTAGGCTGTTCTTGCATTGCCATAAAGAAACACTTGAGACTGGGTAATTTATAAAGAAAAGAGGTTTAGGCTTTCACTGGTGACATTAGCTGGCACTTGCTCTACTCTCTCTAATGGGGAAGCAGTGGAATACAAGAGACTGAACTGTATCTGCCTTTATTTCCGACGGACTCACATTGAACTTTCAATCACAAAATTATAGCAAAGAAAGGAACCCGAACTTTAGTAACACAGCTAGAACAAGCTGCAGCAGCAGTGGCAGCAGCAGGAGAAAAGCTTTAATTTAGTTGATTTTCTGTGGCTATTTGTTGTTTGCTAGTCTCATGGTGATGGAAGCTGCAAAATTTTTTGAAGGGACCAAGAAGCTGCTGAAGGTTTGGTTCTCCTGGTAGCAGCCTGATACAAACGAAGGATGTGGGGATCTTAGCAGTATTCCAAGATCTGAGTGGGACATATTTTTGAAGGATGTGTAATGTTCAATCATATGTGTGACAAAAACTGACAAGCAGGAAGCTTATGTACTCAGTGAGAGTAGCATATTTGTCTCCAAGAGACGTTTCATTTTGAAGACATGTGGTACCACCCTCTTGCTGAAAGCACTGGTTCCCCTGCCGAAGCTTGCTGGGGATTACAGTGGGTTTGACTCGATTCAAAGCCTCTTTTATTCTCATAAGAATTTCATTAAGCCTTTTCACCAAGGGTACCCTAACCAGAATTTCCAGGAAGACATAGAGTTTCTTAATGCAGTTTTCCCAAATGGAGCAGCATATTGTATGGGATATATGAATTCTGACTGTTAGTACTTATATACTCTGGAGTTCCCAGAGAGTTGGGTAACCAGTCAGCCAGATCAAACCCTGGAAATTCTGATGAAGTGAACTTGACCCAGCAGTTACGGACCAGTTCTACATGAAAGATGGTGTTACTGCAAAGAATGTCACTCATGAGAGTGGAATTTGTGACCTGATTCCAGGTTCTGTCACTGATGACACAATATTTAATCCTTTTGAGCATTTGATGAATGGAATGAAATCAGACAAAACTTATTATTCACATCGCTCCAGAACCAGAATCCTCTTATGTTAGCTTTGAAACAAACTTAAGTCAGACCTCCTATGATGACCTGATCAGAAAAGTTGTGGAACTCTTTAAGCGAGGAAAATTTGTGACGACCTTGTATGTTATTTAGAGTTCTAAATGTTGCACAGTGCTTTCTTTGCCCCAGAAGATTTAAGGTTTTAAGTGTCTTGATTGTCAGAGGGCTATGTTCAATGATTACAATTTTGTTTTTACCTGTTTTGCTAAAAATTTGCAACAGCAAAGTTAAAAAAAATGAAGAAAAAATACAAAAAGAGAACACACATAGAGGGTGGTGGATGCTTTCTAGTTGTTGATACTGGGGGCAGTGCTTTCCATAACCACCACCTTGTACTTACAGAAAGCCCTAGATGTAATGATAGTGTAATCATTTTGAACTGTATGCATTATATCAAGGAGTTAGATGTCTTGAATGAATGCTTTCTTCTGTGTTTAGGTATTCTCTGCCACTCTTGCTGTGAAATTCAAATGCATGTAGAAAAAAACTTTATTAAATGAAACTTTACAACACTCATGAAAGCAATTCAATTTGGTTTATGCACAGCATAATATTTCTCCAGGTATCATCCAAAATTCCCCACAGACAAGGCTTTCGTCCTCTTTAGGTATTAGCCTCAGCTAACCATCTGGGACTGTTCTATTAAATTGCTGTGAGAATTTTACATTCAGTTACCTCCACTTTCTAGAATGCATTTTTTTTTTTTTTTGAGACAGAGTCTCGCCCTGTCACCCAGGCTGGAGTGCAGTGGTGCGATCTTGGCTCACTGCAACCTCCACCTCCCATGTTCAAATGATTCTCATGCCTCAGCCTCCGAAGTAGCTGAGATTACAGGTGTGCACCACCATGCCCAGCTAATTTTTATATTTTAGTAGAGAGGAGGTTTTGCCATGTTGTCCAGGCTAGTCTCAAACTCCTGGGCTCAAGCAATCCACCTGCCTCGGCCTCTCAAAGTGCTGGGATTACAGTGTATTATCTTTTTGATGTATTGTTGGATTCAGTTTATTAGTATTCTGTGGAGGATTTAAAAATCTATGTTCATCGAGGATATTGGCCTGTAGTTTTTTGTTTTTACTGTGTCCTTGTCTGGTTTTTGGTTACACTGGCCTTGTAGAATGAGTTAGAAAGAGTGTCCTCTATTTCAATTTTTAGAATACTTTGAAAGAATTGGTATTAATTCTTCTTTAAAGATTTGGTGCAATTCAGTGGTGAAGTCATTCGCTTCTGAATTTTTCTTTGTTGAGAGGCTTATTACTGATTCAATCTCATAACTTGTTATTGGTCTGTTCAGGTTTTCTATTTCTTCTTGATTCACATCCTTGTAGGTTGTATGTACCCAAGAATAATCAATCAATTTTCTTCTAGGTTTTCCTATTTCTTAGCCTAGTAGTAGTAGTTCGTAGTAGTAGTTCATAGTAGTCTATGATGATCTTTTGTATTTCTGTGTTATGCGTTATTTATTTGGGTCTTCTCTCTTTTTTTCTTAGTCAGGCTAATGTTTTGTTGATTTTGTTTCTCTCTTTAAAAAAACCTTTTCATTTTGTTGATATTTTGTATTGTTTTTTAGTCTCAGTTTTGTTTATTTATAATCTGATCTTTATTGTTTCTTTCCTTTTACTAATTTTGAGTTTTTTTGTTTTGATTTTCTTGTTCCTTGAGATACATTGCTAAGTTGTTTTTAGTTTTTTGAGGTAGGTTATTATTGCTATAAATGTGCATCTTAAAACTGTTTTTGCTGTCCATTGGTTTTGGTATGTGTTTCTAATTTCATTTGTTTCAAGGAATTTTAAATTTTTATTCTTAATTTCTTCCTCCTCCCATTGGTTGTTCAAGAGCCTGTTGTTTAATTTCCATGTGTTTGTATATTTTCAAATGTTCCTCTTGTTATTGATTTCATTTTATTACATGTGGTCAGACAAGATACTTGGTATAATTTTGATTAAAAATTTTTTTCTCATACTTGTTTTTTGTCCTAACATATCTTCAAGCCTGGGGAATGTTCCATATGCTAACAAAACAATGTGAATTCTGCAGTTGTTGAAAGAAATGCTCTGTAAATGCTTGTTACGTCCATTTGATATATGGTCCAGTTTAAATCCTATTATTCTTTGTTGATTTTCAGTCTAGATAATCTGTCCAATGTTGAGAGTGGGGTGTATTATTATATTGGAATCTATCTCTTCCTTTAGATCTAGTAAGGTATGCTTTATATATCTGGGTGGTCCAGTGTTTGGTGCATATATGTTTAGTTGTTATATTCTCTTGCTAAATTGATAGGCTTATGATCTAATGTTCTTCTTTGTCTCTTTTTCATCTTTGACTTGATATTTACTTGTCTGATAAAAGTATAGCTACTACTGCTTGCTTTTCATTTTCATTTATGTGAAATA
The DNA here is from genome assembly GCF_000001405.40 of Homo sapiens. Taxonomy (NCBI): domain Eukaryota; kingdom Metazoa; phylum Chordata; class Mammalia; order Primates; family Hominidae; genus Homo; species Homo sapiens. The sequence goes on along the minus strand of NC_000024.10, from coordinate 57,012,939 downwards.
TCTTTTTTATTAAAATGTTTACATTTTAGTTATTTTTGGTATAATAGACATAAATATTCATGGGGTACATGTGACGTTCTGAAATAGGCATATAATGTATAATAATCATACCAGGGTAGTTGGAATATCCATCACCCGAAGCACTGATCATTTATTTGTGTTAGGAACATTCCAATCTCACTCTTTTTATTATTTTAAAATACAGAGTAAATTATTTTTGACTATAATCACCCTGTTGAGCTATCAAATGTTAGATGTTATTCATTCTATCTATTTTTGTGCACCCATTAACCATCCTCATTTCCCCTCCACTACCCTTCCCAGCCTCTGATAATCATTATTCTACTCTCTGTGTCTACGAGTTCAATTGTTTTAATTTTTAGCTACATGTGAGTGAGAACTTGTGAAATTAGTCTTTCTGTGCCTGGCTTATTTCACTTAACATAATGTCTTCCAGTTCCATACATGTTGTTGCAAATGACAGGATTTTATTCTTTTTCACAGCTGAATAATATTCTATTTTGCATATATGTACTACACTTTCTTTGTCCATTTTATTCATATATGTACACTTAGGTTGATTCCAAATCTTACCTATTGCGAATAGGGCTGCAATGAATATGGGAGTGTAGATATCTCTTCAATATCCTGATTACCTCTTTTTAGATATATACTTAGCAGTGGAAATGCTGTATCATATGGTAGTTCTATTTTAAGTTTTTCTGAGAAACCTCCATATTGTTCTCAATAGTGGCTGTCCTAATTTACATCCCTGCCAACAGTGTATGTGGGTTTCACTTTCTTCACATCCTTGCCAACATTTGTTACTGCCTGTCTTTTGGAAAAAAGACATTTTAACTGGGTGAGATGATATCTCATTGTGGTTTTGATTAGGATTTCTCTGATTATTGACGAAATTGAGCATTTTTTTCATATACTTCTTAGCCATTTGTATACCTTCTTTTGAGACTTGTCTATTCAGATCGTTTGCCCATTTTGAAGCTGGATTATTAGATTTTTTGCTATTGAGTTGTTTGAGCTCTTTATGTAGTCTAGTTATTACTCCTTTGTCAGATAGGTTACTTGCAAATACTTTCTCCCATTCTGTGGGTTTCTCTTCACTTTGTTGACTGTTTCCTTGGCTGTGAAGAAGCATTTTCGCTTGATGTAATCCCACTTGTCTATTTTTGCTTTGGTTGCCTGTGCTTCTAAGGTATTACTCAAGAAATCTTTGCCCAGATCTATGTCCTGGTAGGTTTCCTCAATGTTTTCTTTTACTAGTTTCATAATTGCAGGGCTTAGATTTAAGTCTTTAGTCCATTTTGATTTGATTTTTATACGTGGCAAAAGATAAGGGTCTAGTTTCTTTCTTCTACATAGAGATATCTAGTTTTCCCAGCACCATTTGTTCAAGAGACTGTCTTTCCCCCAATATATGTTCTTGACACTTTTGTTAAAACGGAGTTTACTGTAAATGTGTGGATTAAGTTGCTGGGTTCTGCATTCTGTTCCATTGGACTATGTATCTGCTTTTATGCCAGCACCATGTTGTTTTGGTAACTAAATCTCTGTAGTATAATTTGAAGTCTGGTAATGTGATTTCTCCAGTTTTGCTCTTTTTCCTTAGGATGATTTTGGCTAGTCTAGGTCTTTTGTGGCTCCATATAAATTTTAGAATTTTTTTTCTATTTCTGTGAAGAATGTCGTTGGTATTTTCATAGGGATTGCCTTGAATTTGTAGATTGCTTTGGGTAGTATGGACATTTTAACAATATTGATTTTTCTAATCTATGAGCATGGGATATATTACAATTTTTGTTCTCTTCAATTTCTTTTATCAATGTTTTATAGTTTTAATTGTAGATTTCCTTCACTTCTTTGGTTAAGTATATCCCTAGGTATTTTATCTTATTTTATTTATAGCTATTATAGATGGGATTATTTTCTTGATTTCTTTTGTATATCATTTACAGTTAATATATGGAAATGCTACTGACTTTTTTTTTTTTTTTTTTGACGGAGTTTCTCTCTGTCGCTCAGGCTGGAGTGCAGTGGCGCGATCTCGGCTCACTGAAAGCTCCGCCTCCCGGGTTCACGCCATTCTCCTGCCTCAGCCTTCGGAGTAGCTGGGACTACAGGCGCCCGCCACCAAGCCCGGCTAATTTTTTTGTATTTTTTTAGTAGAGACGGGGTTTCACCGTGTTAGCCAGGATGGTCTCGATCTCCTGAGAGTTTTTATCATGAAGGGATGTTGAATTTTATCAAATACTTTTTCAGCATCAGTTGAAAAGATCATATGGTTTTTGTTCTTCATTCTGTTGATATAATGTATCACACTGATTGATTTGCATATGTGGAACCATTCTTTACCCCTGGGTTGATCCCACTTTGTTATAGTGAATAATCTTTTTAATGTGTTGTTGAATTTGTTTTACTAGGATTTTGTTGAGGACATGTGCATCTGTGTTCATCAGAGATATACTGGCCTGTAGTTTTCTTTATTGGTTGTGTCTTTAGTTTTGGTATCAGGGTAATACCGGCCTCATAGCATGAGTTTGAAAGTAATCTCTCCTCCTCAATTTTTTGGAATAGTTTGATTATGTTTGGTGTTAGTTCTTCTTTAAATGTTTGGTAGAATCCAACAGTTAAGCCATTGGATCCTGAGCTTTTCTTTGATGAGAGATGTTTTATTATGGCTTTGATGTCATTACTTGTTATTGGTCTATTCAGGTTCTGGATTTCTTCATGGTTCCATCTTGCTAGGTTGTATGTGTGTAGGAATTTATCAATTTCTTCTAGGTTTTTCAATTTATTGGCATATAATTGCTCAAAATAGTCTCTAATGATCCTTTGAATTACTACAGTATAAGTTATAATGTCTCCTTTTTAATTTCTTATTTTATTTATTTGAATCTTATCTCTTTTCCTTAATCTGGCTAAAGTTTTGTCAATTTTGTTTATTTTTGTAAAAAAGCCAGCTTTTTGTTTTGTTGATCTTTTGTATTGCTTTTTGGTTTCAATTTCATTTATTTTTGCTCTGATTATTATGATTTCCTTTCTTCTACATATTTTGCATATGATTTGCTCTTGCTTTTATAATTCTTTAAGATGCATTTTAAAATTGGCTATTTGTCGTTTTTCTACTTATTTGATGTAGGACTTATTGCTATAAACTTTCCTTTTAGTACTGCTTTCTCTGTGTCCCATAGATTTTGGTTTGTTATGTTTGCATTTTCATTTGCTTCAATACATTTTAAAATTTCATTACTAACTTCTTCACTGACCCACTGGTAATTTAAGAGCATATTGTTTTATTTCCATGTGTTTGCATGGTTCCTAAAGTTCTTGTTATTGATGTCTAGTTTTATTTTATTGTGGTCAGATACTTGATACTATCTTAGTTTTACTGAGGTTTTTAAGACTTGTTTTGTGGCTTAACATAGGTCTGTCCTTGAGAATGATCCATGTTCTCAGAAGAAAATGTATTCTGCAGCTCTTGGATAAAACGTTGTGTAAAGATTTATGAGATCCTTTTGATTTATTATGCAGATTAAGTTCAATATTTCTTTGCTGATTTTCTATCTGGATGATCTGCCCAATGCTGAAAGCTGTGTGTTAAGGTCTCCAGCTATTATTGTATTGGAGGAGTCTATCTCTCTCTTAAAACTCTAATAAAATTTGCTTTCTGTGTCTGAGTGCTCCAGTGTTGGGTGCATATATATATTTACAGTTATTATATTCTCTTGCTGAAGTGACCTGTTTATCATTATATAATGACCTTTTTAGTCTGTTTTTATAGTTTTTGTCTTGAAATCTATTTTATCTGATAAAAAGTATAGGTATTTGTGCTCCTTTTTTGGTTTTTATTTTCATAGAATATCTTTTTCCAGCCCTTTATTTTCAGTCTGTGTGTATCTATACAGGTAAAATGAGTTTCTTGTAGGTACCATATAGTTGGGTCTTTTAAAAAATTCATTCAAGATTTTAGTTCATTTACATTCAATGTTATTGATAGGCAAAGACTTACTATTGCTATTTTGTTTTTTGTTTTCTGGCTGTTTAGTGTTCCTCTCTCCCTCTCCCCCTCCCTCCATCCCCTCCCTCCCTCCCTCTCTTTTCCTCTTCCTCTTCCCCTTCCCCTCGTTCTCCTTCCCCTTCTCCTTCTCCTTCCCCTTCCCCTTCTCCTTCTCCTTCCCCTTCCCCTTCTCCTTCTCCTTCTTCTGCTTCTCCTCCTCCTTTCTTCCTTCCTTCCTTCTTTGTGTAAAAGAGATTTTCTCTGGTAGTAGGTTTTAATTTCTTGCTTTTTATTTATTGTGTATCTGTAGATTTTTTGGTTTGAGGTACCATGAGTCTTGAAATAACATCTTATAACCAATCATTTTAAACTGATGACAACTAAACTGTGATTACAGAAAAGCACAACAAATAAACAAAGAAGGAAAGTGAACACTAATAAAAACTATACACTTTAACACCATCCCCTCCCAGATTTTTAATTTTTGTTGTTTATAGTTATGACTTTTAATACTATCTCTTAAAACATTGTTGTAGTTATTATTTTTATAGGTTTGTCTTTTAGTCTTCCTACTCAAGATGTGAGTGGTTTACACACCATTACAGTGTTAGATTATTCTATATTTGTCTGCGTACTTACTACTACCGGTGAGTTTTGTATGTTCATATGACTTCTTATTGCTTATTAGGATCCTTTTCTTTAAGATTGAAGAACTCTCTTTAGCATTTTTTTTTGTAGCTCATGTGTGTACTTGATGAATTCCCTTAGTTTTTTTTTGGTCCAAGAAAGTCTTCATTTCTCCTTTATGTTTGAAGGATATTTTTGCTGGATATAATATTCTAGGATAAAAGTTTTTTTCCTTCAGCACTTTGAATATGTCATAGCAGTCTCTTGTAGCCTGCAAGGTTTCCACTGAGACATCTGCTGCCAGACATATTGCTACTTCTTTATGCTATATTTGTTTCTTTTCTATTGTTGCTTTTAGGATTATGTTTTCATCTTTGACCTTTGGGAGCTTAATTACTAAATGCCTAGAGGTTGTCTCATTTAGTTTAACCCTGCCTGGTTTTATGTGACCTTCTTGTACATGAACACTGATATCTTTCTCTAGGTTTGGAATGCTCTTTGTTATTATTTCTTTGAATTAACTTTTTACCCCAGTTTCTCTCTCTACCTCCTCTCTAAGACAAGTATATCTTAAATTTGCCCTTTTGAGGCTATTTTCTACATCTTGTAGCCATGCTTCACTTTTTTTATTGTTTTTTTTTCTTCTCTGTGTTTTCTTATAGCCTCTGTTTGACCTTACTAATTCTTTCTTCTGCTTGATCAATTCTGCTGTGGAGAGACTCTGGTGCATTTTTCAGTGTGTCAATTGAATATTTCTGCTCTAGAACTTTTGCTTGATTTTCAAAAATTATTTCAATCTCTTTGTTAAATTTCTTTGATAGGATTCTGAATTCCTTCTCTGTGTTATCTTGAAATTTGTTGAATTTCCTCAAAACAGTTATTTTGAGCCGGATGCAGTGACTCATGCTTATAATCCCAGTACTATGGGAGGCCAAGATGGGAAGGTTGCCTGAGAACTGGAGTTTGAGGCCAGTCTGGGCAACATAGCAAGACCCTATGTCTACAAAATTTTTAAAAAATGTTAGCCAGGCATGGTGGTGTGTACCTCTAGTCTCAGCTACTCGGGAGGGTGAGGTGGGAGGATCATTTGAGCCCAGGAGTTCGAGACTACAGTGAACTATTATCACACCACTGTACTCCAGCCTAGGCGGCAGAGCAATACACCCCCCCTCCCCTGCCAAAAAAAGCAGCTATTTTGAATCCTTTGCTGAAATGTCACATAGCTCTGTTATTCTGGGATTTGTCACTGGTGCCTTATTTAGTTTGTTTGGTGAGGTCATGTTTTCCTACATGTTCTTGATGCTTGTGAATATTCATCAATTAGGTATTTATTCTAGTCTTCACAGTCTGGGCTTGTATGTACTTGTCCTTCTTGACAAGGCTTTCCAGGAATTCAAAGGGTTGTGATCTAAGTCTTTGGTCATTGCAACCATATCTGCACTAGGGGGCTCCCTAACCCCAGCAATGCTGCAACTTTTGCAGGCTCTTACTGCCTTGGTGCACTTGGACGAGATCCAGGAGAATTCTCCAGGCAGTCTCTAGTTCTCTTCCTTCACTTTCCCCCAACAGAAGGAGTCTCTCTCTCTCTCTCCATGCTGGTATGCCTGGAGTTGGGGAAAGGGTGATGCAAGCAATACTCTGGCCACCACAGCTGAGACCGCACTGGATCACACCTGAAGTCAACATAGTACTGGGTCTCGCCCAAGGACCATGATGATACTGCCTGTCTAACACTGATGTTTATTCAAGGCCCAAGGGCTCATTATTCCACAGGTGGTGAATCCTGCCAGGACTGGGTCTTTCTCTTCAGTGCAGTAGGTTCCCTTCTGGCCCAGGGTGGGTCTAGAAATGCTATCCAGGAACTAGGGCCTGGAATCAGGGGCTTCAGGAATCTGTTTTGTGCTTTATTTAACTGTGGCTTTCCTGGTACCCATGTTGCAAGACAAAGTCCTCTGTGCTCTTCCCTCTCCTTATGGAAGCAGGAGTCACTCCCTGAGTTGCACTGCCTGGAGTTGGGGGAGGGTTGACACAAGCACTCCCTTGGCTGCCACAGCTAATGTCTCACTGGTTCATATGCACTCCCATTCCACTGGCTCTGAGCACAGTGCAGCACCTGAAATTGCTCAAGGGCTGCAGTTCTTGTAGCCTGACTGCCTTTTAAACCTATTGAGAAGCAAAGGGTACTTTAATTGGCCAGCAGTGGAGCTAGCCAAAACTTGGGTTTTTATCACTGGGGCAGAGAATTCCCTTTTGGCTGGGGCTAGTTTAAATGCTCCCTCCATGGGCACTGGAAGGATTCTGCTCTGTGTTGTGTTCTGCTGTAACAGGGCAGCATTGGAACTCAGTGTGGGAACTCAGTGCCACAATCACTTCTTTCTTGCTTCCCCAAGCACACAAATTCTCTCTTCGTGTGCTGCTGGGGGATGGAGAAGGGGTGGTGTAGGCAATGTAAGACTGTATTTTATATCTTTTGCAGTGCCTCTTTTCTTGATATTATTTTAAAACCAGGTACTATAATTGCTCACCTGATTTTTGGTTCTTATGAAGATGCTTTCTTGCATGGATAGTCATTTAATTTGGTTTTCCGGTAGGAGGATGATTGCTGGAGGGTTATATTTGGCTATCTTGTTCTGCCTTCTCAAGCTGTTTAAAATATATTTTTTCAACTCTTCCCATTTAGTCTGTGTCTTCCTGGTGGTGAGAGTTTCTTTTAGGTAGCATCCAGGTGGGTCTTTAAAAAATTCCTTCAGCCAGTCTATATCTTTTAAGTGGGGAATTTAATCCATTTACATCCAAGGTTATTATTGGTAGATGAGGACTTATGTTATTTTATTGATTTTTTTTCTGGTTGTTTTGTATATCCTTTGTTCTTTACTTCTCTTATTGTTTATTTTTGTGGTTGGGTGGTTTTCTGTAGTTATAAAGTTTGATTGTTTTCTCTGTGTGTCATCTCTACTAGTGAGTTTTGCAGTTTTGCATGTTTTCATAATGGTGGTTATGGTCTTTTGATTTCTAGAAGTCAGATTCCCTTGAGCATTTCTTTTAATACTGGTCTAGTGTTGATGTGTTCCTTTAATTTTTGTTTATCAAAGATTTTATTTCTTCTTCATTTCTGAAGGATAGCTTTGCCGTGTATATTATTCTTTCCTGGCGGTTTCTTTTTCCAGTATTTTGAAAATATCATCCTATCCTCTTCTGGCCTGTAAGATTTTTTGCTGAGAAAGCCACTATTAGTCTAATGAGGGTTCCTTTATATGTGACTTGATGTTCTTCTCTTGCTGTTTTTAGAATTATTGTTTTGTCTTTAACTTTCAACAATTTGAACATTATGTGGCTTGCAGAGAATCTGTTTAGGTTTAATCTGTTTGGCAACCTTTGAGTTTCCTGGTTCAGGATGGCCATCTCCCAAGGCTTGTGAAGTTTTCAGCTATTATTTCATGAAACATATTTATACACCTTTTCCCCCCCCTTCTTTTTATGGAATGTCAATAATTTGAATATTTGTTTGCTTAATACTGTCCCATACATTCTGTATGCTTTCTTTATTCTCTTTTTTTTTTGTCTACCTCTGTTATTTGAAAACACCTGTCTTTAAGTTCAGAAGTTCCTCTGAACTCCTTTCTTCTGCTTGGTCTTATCTGTTGTTGAAGCCCTCAATTGTCTTTTTTTTAAATTTTATTCATTGAATTCTTCACCTCTGGGATTTCTGTTTTGTTCATTTTTATGATATCTATCGCTGTGTTGAATTTGTCATTCAAGACATGAATTATTTTCCTGATTTTTTGTATTGTCTACCTGTATTCTCTTATATCTCATTGAGGTTTCTTAAGATTATTATTTTGAATTTTTTTCTGACATTTTATATATTTCCTTATGATTGGGGTCTGTTACTGGAGAATTATTATGTTCCCTTGGAGGTGTCATGTTTCTATGCTTTTTCATGTTTGATGTGTCCCTATGTCAATTTGTACACATCTGGTGGAAAAGTCACCTCTTCCAATTTTATGGAGTAGGTTTTGTAGGGAAAGATATATTCATATAGATGAGTCTTGAGGTCTTGAATAAGATATAATCTTATTCATATAGATCAGGTCAGTGGGGTGTGTTGGGTTGGTTCTGGGTGGATGCAGTAATATAGTCTCCATGTAGTTTCTTTAGCTGTAATCCACACCGGTGATGTTTGCAAGGGTCTCATTGGTCTAGGCTAAGAGAGTTTGTACTGGCAGTACTGGTGTGGCTTTGCTTTTTTAGAAACAGCTCATCAGGCTGTTTCTCAGGTCAGTGGTGAGGTGTGCACATGGCGGGTCAGCCAACTTAGAGTCTGACTCCCTGGGGATGGAGCTACAGGGTTGTTTCTCCAGCTGGGGGCATGAACCCATGGTTGCTTACCAGCCTCAGACTGGGCATAGCCTATGGGACTGTTTCTCAGGCCCAAAAGATGGCCATACAGTTTACTTCATTTTTGGTCATGTTAAGCTTTTAAATACCAATGAAAAATATAGTTGGAGATATCCAGAAGGCATGTGAGGATAATACGTTTGAACTTCAAGGTAAGATCTGGGTAGCAGTCATTAAAAGAAAATTCACATGGTAGTTGAAGTTATATGATTACATAAAATAATCTAAAAACAACATACAGTGTGGGGGGCTTCAGAGTGTGTGTGTGTGCATGTGTGTGTGTACACACAGTCTTGCTTCTTTGTTTTTAATTGGTTTTGAATGTCTTCGGTTAGGACACACACTATAATTCAAACACAGTCTTTACCATTCCCTATTTTCTTATACCTGGAAAACTTACAGTTATTTTACCTGTTTGACCTCTGGAAATAACTTGTGTTTTCAATTTCTGGTGTAGCAAGAAAAGCAGTGGACTTTTTATCACTTAACATTAAAAATGGATTTTAACCTAAAATATTTTTAATATTATTTTAAATCACCAGAAAAATTGATTTTTAAATATCTTGATGTACAGTTTTATGAATTTTAACACATGTATGGAGACATGTTATCACTACTACATCAGGACATATAATAATTTTAACATAAAACTTCCTCATTCTACCATTCTACCACTTTATAGTCATCCCTCCTCCTACCCATAAATGCTGGCAACCTGTTCTATTTCTATATCTTTTTTTTTTTTTTTTTTTTTGAGACAGAGGAGTCTCACTCTTTCGCCCAGGCTGGAGTGCAGTGGCACGATCTCAGCTCACTGCAAGCTCCACCTCCCGGGTTCACGCCATTCTCCTGCCTCAGCCTCCCGAGTAGCTGGGACTACAGGCGCCCGCCACAATGCCTGGCTAATTTTTTTTGTATTTTTATTAGAGATGGGGTTTCACCATGTTAGCCGGGATGGTCTCAATCTTCTGACCTCGTGATCCACCCGCCTCGGCCTCCCAAAGTGTGTTCTATATCTTTATAGTCTTGCTTTTTCAGAACGTTATATAAATGATATAATGCAGTATGCAGTCTTTTGAGACTGGCTTTTTTATGCAACATAATGTCTTTAAGAGTCATCCAAACTGTTGTGTGTATCAATAGTTTGGGCTTTGTATTCTGAGTAGTATTTCATTGTGTGGTTGTGCCACAGTTTATTCATGTATTCACTTATTGAAGGACATTTGGATTCTTTCTAGTTTGGGGCAATTATGAATAGTGCAGGTATAAGCATTGGTGTTCAGACATAAGTTTTCATTTCTCTAGGACAGAAACTCAGGAATGGAATTGCTGAGTCACATGGTAAGTCTATGTTTAACTTTGTAGGAAACTACCAAACCATTTTGCAGAGTGGATGCACCATTTTTTATTCCCCTAGTAATGTATGACAGACCCAGTTGCCCAGCACTTGATATTGTCAATTTTTTTTAAAAAAATTAAAACATCATATTGTACCCCATAAATGTATAATGTATACTATTATTATTGTTTGTTAATTAAAAATTTTAAGATGTTTCTTTCTTGCTATAAGAGAAAAAGATGCTTTTTTAATAGAAGGAAATATCCCAGAAACAGATAAAATGTAAAGTAAAATCATTCATTCTCTTCCCAACCACGAGGAAATTGCTAATGGTTTCAAGTCTATCCTTCCAGAGTATTAACTCATTCATGAGCATATATAGATGTATACGACTCTCCTTTTGTTACTTTAAAAATTCAAGTGGTATAAGAGAATACGGTTCTGCATATAAATGTGCATTGTACATTTTTATTTCTATGGTCTATTTTGAGTTAATTTTTGTATAAGGTATGAGGTTAAGCTTGAGGGCTTTTTGTTTTGTTTTCTCATTTGCATATCGATGTACCATTGTTGCAACATCATTTGTTGTTCCTCCACTAAATTGCTTTTGCATCTTTGCCAAAAATCAATTGACCCCTAATTGTGTGGGCATACTTATGGTCTCATTTTGCTCCATTGATCTATTTGTCTATCCCTTTGCCAGAACCACACTGTTTTGATTACTGTAGCTTTATAGTAATTTTTTTTTTGAGACAGAGTCTCACTCTGTCTCCCAGGCTGGAGTGCAGTGGTGTAATCTCCGCTCACTGAAACCTCTGCCTCCTGGGTTCAAGCAATTCTCCTGCCTCAGCTTCCCGAGTAGCTGGGACTACAGGCACCCACCACCACGCCCAGCTAATTTTTGTATTTTTAGTAGAGACAGGGTTTCACCATGTTGGCCAGGATGGTCTCGATGTCCTGACTTTGTGATGCGCCCACCTCGGTCTCCCAAAGTGCTGGGATTACAGGTGTGAGCCACCACGCCTGGCCAGTAATTCTTTATTTTTATTTTTATTTATTTTTTTACTTATTATTTTATTATTATACTTTAAGTTCTAGAGTACATGTGCAAAACATGCAGGTTTATTACATATGTATACATGTGCCATGTTGGTTTGCTGCACCTATTAACTCATCATTTACATTAGGTATTTCTCCTAATGCTATCCCTCCCCCATGCTCCCACCCAACGACAGGCCCCGGTGTGTGATGTTCCCCGCCCTGTGTCCAAGTGTTCTGATTGTTCAATTCCCACCTATGAGTGAGAACATGTGGTGTTTGGTTTTCTGTCTTTGCGATAGTTTGCTGAGAATGATGGTTTCCAGCTTCATCCATGTCGCTACAAAGGACATGAACTCATCCTTTTTTATGGCTGCATAGTATTCCGTGGTGTATATGTGCCACATTTTCTTAATCGAGGCTCTCATTGACAGACATTTGGGTTGGTTCCAAGTCTTTGCTATTGCGAATAGTGCCACAATAAACATACGTGTACATGTGTCTTTATAGTAGCATGATTTACAACCTTTTGGGTATATACCCAGTAATGGGATCGCAGGGTCAAATGGTATTTCTAGTCCTAAATCCTTCAGGAATTGCCACACTGTCTTCCACAATGGTTGAACTAGTTTAGGCTCCCACCAACAGTATAAAAGCATTCCTATTTCTCCACATCCTCTCCAGCACCTGTTGTTTCCTGACTTTTTAATGATCGCCATTCTAAATGGTGTGAGATGGTATCTCATTTTGGCTTTGATACACATTTCTCTGATGACCAGTGATGATGAGCATTTTTTCATGTGTCTGTTGGCTGCATAAATGTCTTCTTTTGTGAAGTGTCTGTTCATATCCTTCACCCTCTTTTTGATGGGGTTGTTTGAATTTTTCTTGTAAATTTGTTTAAGTTCCTTGAAGATTCTGGATATTAGCCCTTTGTCAGAGGGGTAGATTGTAAAAATTTTCTCCCATTCTGTAGGTTGCCTGTTCACTCTGATGGTAGTTTCTTTTGCTATGCAGAAGCTCTTTAGTTTAATTAGATCCCATTTGTCAATTTTGGCTTTTGTTGCCATTGCTTTTGGTGTTTTAGTCATGAAGTCCTTGCCCATGCCTATGTCCTGAATGGTATTGCCTAGGTTTTCTTCTAGGGTTGTTATGGTTTTAGGTCTAACATTTAAGTCTTTAATCCATCTTGAATTAATTTTAGTATAAGGTGTAAGGAAGGGATCCAGTTTCAGCTTTCTCCATATGGCTAGCCAGTTTTCCCAGCACCATTTATTAAACAGGGAATCCTTTCCCCATTTCTTGTTTTTGTCAGGTTTGTCAAAGATCAGATGGTTGTAGATGTGTGGTGTTATTTCTGAGGGCTCTGTTCTGTTCCATTGGTCTATATCTCTGTTTTGGTACCAGTACCATGCTGTTTTGGTTACTGTGGCCTTGTAGTACAGTTTGAAGTCAGGTAGCATGATGCCTCCAGCTTTGTTCTTTTGGCTTAGGATTGTGTTGACAATGTGCGCTCTTTTTTGGTTCCATATGAACTTTAAAGTATTTTTTTCCAATTCTGTGAAGAAAGTCATTGGTAGCTTGATGGGGATGGCATTGAATCTCTAAACTACCTTGGGCAGTATGGCCATTTTCACGATATTGATTCTTCCTATCCATGAGCATGGAATGTTCTTCCATTTGTTTGCGTCCTCTTTTATTTCATTGAGCAGTGGTTTATAGTTCTCCTTGAAGAGGTCCTTAACATCCTTTGTAAGTTGGAGTCCTAGGATTCCCAAATTCCTAGTTGGATTTTATTCTCTTTGAAGCAATTGTGAATGGGAGTTCCCTCATGATTTGGCTCTCTGTCTGTTATTGGTGTATAAGAATGCTTGTGATTTTTGCACATTGATTTTGTATCCTGTGACTTTGCTGAAGTTGCTTATGAGCTTAAGGAGATTTTGGGCTGAGACGATGGGGTTTTCTAAATATACAATCATGTCATCTGCAAATAGGGACCATTTGACTTCCTCTTTTTCTAATTGAATACCCTTTATTTCTTTCTCTTGCCTGATTGCCCTGGCCAGCACTTCCAACACTATGTTGAATAGGAGTGGTGAGAGAGGGCATCCCTGTCTTGTGCCAGTTTTCAAAGGGAATACTTCCAGTTTTTGCCCATTCAGTATGATACTGGCTGTGGGTTTGTCATAAATAGCTCTTATTATTTTGAGATACGTTCCATCAATACCTAGTTTATTGAGAGTGTTTAGAATGAAGGGCTGTTGAATTTTGTCAAAGGCCTTTTCTGCATCTATTGAGATTATGATGTGGTTTTTGTCATTGGTTCTGTTTATGTGATGGATTATGTTTATTGATTTGCATATGTTGAACCAGCCTTGCATCCCAGGGATAAAGCCAACTTGATATTGGTGGATAAGCTTTTTGATGTGCTGCTGGATTCAGTTTGCCAGTATTTTATTGAGGATTTTCTCATCAGCGTTCATCAGGGATGTTGGTCTGAAATTCTCTTTTTTTGTTGTGTCTCTGCCAGGCTTTGGTATCAGGATGATGCTGGCCTCATAAAATGAGTTAGGGAGGATTCCCTCTTTTTCTATTGATTGGAATAGTTTCAGAAGGAATGGTACCAGCTCCTCTTTGTACCTCTGGTAGAATTCAGCTGTGAATCCGTCTGGTCCTGGACTTTTTTTGGTTGGTAGGCTATTATTGCCTCAATTTCAGAGCCTGTTATTGGTCTATTCAGGGATTCAACTTCTTCCTGGTTTAGTCTTGGGAGCGTGTATGTGTCGAGGAATTTATCCATTTCTTCTAGATTTTCTAGTTTATTTGTGTAGAGGTGTTTGTAGTATTCTCTGATGTTTGTTTGTATTTCTGTGGGATGGGTGGTGATATCCCCTTTATCATTTTTTATTGCATGTATTTGATTCTTCTCTCTTTTCTTCTTTATTAGTCTTGCTAGCAGTCTATCAATTTTGTTGATCTTTTAAAAAAACCAGCTCCTGGATTCACTGATTTTTTGAAGGGTTTTTTTTGTGTCTCTATCTCCTTCAGTTCTGCTCTGATCTTAGTTATTTCTTGCTTTCTGCTAGCTTTTGAGTTTCTTTGCTCTTGCTTCTCTAGTTTTTTTTAATTGTGATGTTAGGTGTCGATTTTAGATCTTTCCTGCTTTCTCTTGTAGGTATTTAGTGCTATAAATTTCCCTCTACACACTGTTTAAATGTGTCCCAGAGATTCTGGTATGTTGTGTCTTTGTTCTCATTGGTTTCAAAGAACATCTTTATTTCTGCCTTCATTTCATTATGTACACAGTAGTCATTCAGGATCAGGTTGTTCAGTTTCCATGTAGTTGTGCAGTTTTGAGTGAGTTTCTTAATCCTGAGTTCTAATTTGATTCCACTGTGGTCTGAAAGACAGTTTGTTGTGATTTCTGTTCTTTTACATTTGCTGAGGAGAGCTTTACTTCCAACTATGTGGTCAATTTTGGAATAAGTGTGATGTGGTGCTGAGAAGAATGTATATTCTGTTGATTTGGGGTGGAGAGTTCTGTAGATGTCTATTAGGTCCACTTGGTGCAGAGCTGAGTTCAAGTCCTGGATATCCTTTTTAACCTTCTGTCTTGTTGATCTGTCTAATGTTGACAGTGGGATGTTAAAGTCTCCCATTATTATTGTGTGGGAGTCTAAGTATCTTTGTAGGTCTCTAAGGACTTGCTTTATGAGTCCGGGTGCTCCTGTATTGGGTGCATATATGTTTAGAATAGTTAGCTCTTCTTGTTGAATTGATCCCTTTACCATTATGTAATGGCCTTCTTTGTCTCTTTTGATCTTTGTTGGTTTAAAGTCTGTTTTATCAGAGACTAGGATTGCAGGCCTTGCTTTTTTTTTTTTTTTTTTTTTTTGGTTTCCATTTGCTTGGTAGATCTTCTTCCATCCCTTTATTTTGAGCCTATGTTTGTCTCTGCACATGAGATGGGTCTCCTGAATACAGCACACTGATGGGTCTTGACTCTTTATCCAGTTTGCCAGTCTGTGTTGTTTAATTGGAGCATTTAGCCCATTTACATTTAAGGTTAATATTGTTATGTGTGAATTTGATCCTGTCATTATGATGTTAGCTGGTTATTTTGCCCATTAGTTGATGCAGTTTCTTCCTAGCATCGATGATCTTTAGAATTTGGCATGCTTTTGCAGTGGCTGGTACTGATTGTTCCTTTCCATGTTTAGTGTTTCCTTCAGGAGCTCCTGTAAGGCAGGCCTGGTGGTGACAAAATCTCTCAACATTTGCTTGTCTGTAAAGGATTTTATTTCTCCTTCACTTATGAAGCTTAGTTTGGCTGGACATGCAATTCTGGGTTGAAAATTCTTTAAAAATGTTGAATATTGGCCCCCCACTCTCTTCTGGCTTGTAGAGTTTCTGCCAAGAGATCTGCTGTTAGTCTGATGGGCTTCCCTTTGTGGATAACCCGACCTTTCTCTCTGGCTGCCCTTAACGTTTTTTCTTTCATGTCAACCTTGGTGAATCTGACAATTACATGTCTTGGAGTTGCTCTTCTTGAGGAGTATCTTTGTGGTGTTCTCTGTTATTTCCTGAATTTGAATGTTGGCCTGCATTGCTAGGTTGGGGAAGTTCTCCTGGATAATACCCTGAAGAGTGTTTTCCAGCTTGGTTCCATTCTCCCCGTCACTTTCAGGTATACCAATCAAACGTAGATTTGGTCTTTTCACGTAGTCCCATATTTCTTGGAGGCTTTGTTTGTTTCTTTTTACTCTTTTTTCTCTATACTTCTCTTCTCACTTTATTTCATTAATTTGATCTTCAATCACTGATACCCTTTCTTCCACTTGATTGAATCGGCTACTTAAGCTTGTGTATGCATCATGTAGTTCTTGTGTCATGGTTTTCACCTCCATCAGATCATTTAAGGTCTTCTCTACACTGTTTTTTCTAGTTAGCCATTCGTCTAATCTTTTTTCAACGTTTTTAGCTTCTTTGCGATGGGTTCGAACATCCTCCTTTAGCTCGGAGAAGTTTGTTATTACCGACTTTCTGAAGCCTAGTTCTGTCAGCTCATCAAAGTCATTCTTCGTCCAACTTTGTTCCATTGCTGGTGAGTAGCTGTGATCCTTTGGAGGAGATGGGGAATTCTCATTTTTAGAATTTTCCACTTTTCTGCTCTGGTTTCTCCCCATCTTTGTGGTTTTGTCTACCTTTGGTCTTTGATGATGGTGACCTACAGATGGGGTTTTGGTGTGGATGTCCTTTTTGTTGATGTTATTCCTTTCTGTTTGTTAGTTTTCCTTCTAACAGTCAAGTCCCTCAGCTGCAGGTCTGTTGGAGTTTGCTGGAGATCCACTCCAGACTCTGTTTGCCTGTGTATCACCAGTAGAGGCTGCAGAACAGCAAATATTGCAGAACAGCAAATATTGCTGCCTGATCCTTCCTCTGGAAGCTTCGTCTCAGAGGGGCACCCGGCTGTGTGAAGTGTCAGTTGGCCCCTACTGGGAGGTATCTCCAAGTTAGGCTACGTGGGGTTCAGGGACCCACTTGAGGAGGCAGTCTGTCCATTTTCAGAGCTCAAAACCATGCTAGGAGAACCACTGCTCTCTTCAGAGCTGTCAGACAGGGACGTTTAAGTCTGCAGAAGTTTCTGCTGCCTTTTGTTCAGATATGCCCTGCCCCAACAGGTGGAGTTTACAGAGGCACGCACGCCTCCTAGAGCTGAGGTGGGCTCCACCCAGTTCAAGCTTCCTGGCCGCTTTGTTTACCTACTCAAGCCTCAGCAACAGTGGACGTTCCTCCCCCAGCCAGGCTTGCCACCTTGCAGTTTGATCTCAGACTAGCGGTGAGCAAGGCTCCGTGGGAGTGGGACCCACTGAGCCAGGCGTGGGATATAATCTCCTGGTGTGCCATTTGCTAAGACTGTTGGAAAAGCTTGGTGTTTAGGTGACAGTGTCCCAATTTTCCCAGTACAGTCTGTCACGGCTTCCCTTGGCTAGGAGAGGTAAATCCCCCGACCCCTTGCGCTTCCTGGGTGAGGCAATGCCCCGCCCTGCTTTTGCTCACCCTCCATGGGCTGTCCCCACTGTCCTACTAGTCCCAATGAAATGAACCAGGTACCTCAGTTGGAAATGCAGAAATCACCCGTCTTCTGCATCAATCATGCTGGGAGCTGCAGACCAGAGCTGTTCCTATTTGGCCATCCTGGAACGGACCCCAGTAATTCTTAAAATCAGGTAGTATGCATTGAGATGCTTCACAGAACTAGAAAAAACTATTTTAAAATTCACATGAAACCAAAAATAGCCCGATTAGTCAAGGCAATCCTAAGCAAAAGGAACAAAGCTGGAGACATCATGCTATCCATCTTCAAATTATACCACAGGGATAGAGTAACCAACACAGCATGGTACTGGTACAAAAACAGACACATAGACCAACAGAACCGAAGACAGAACTCAGAAATAAGACAAGATACCTACAATTATCTGATCTTTGACAAAGCTGACAAAAACAAGCAATGGAGAAAGGATGCCCTATTCAATAAATGGCGCTGGAATAACTGTCTAGCTATATGAAGAAGATTAAAACTGCACCCCTTCCTTATGCTATATACACAAATTGACTCGAGATGGATTAAAGACTTAAATGTAAAACCCCAGACTATAAAAACCCTGGAAGACAACCTAGGCAATACCATTCAGGGCATAGGCATGGGCAAAGATTTTATGACGAAAACACCAAAAGCAATTGCAACAACAACAAAAATTGACAAATGGGATATAATTAAACTAAAGAGCTTCTGCACAGCAAAAGAAACTATCAACAGAGTAAACAGACAACCTACAGAAAGGGAGAACATTTTTGCAAACTATGCATCTGACAAAGGTCTAATATCCAGCATCTATAAGGAACTTAAGCAAATTTACAAGAAAAAAACAACTTCATAAAAAGTGGGCAAAGGACACTAACACTTTTCAAAAGAAGACATGCATGTGGCCAGCAATCACATTAAAAAAAAGCTCAATATCACTGATCATTAGAGAAATGCAAATTAAAACTACAATGAGATACCATCTAATACCAGTCAGAATGGCCATTATTAAAAGACATAAAATAACAGAGGCTGGCAAGGTTATAGAGAAAAAAGAACGCTTATACAAATGTATGTAGGAGTGTAAATTATTTCAACCATTGTGGAAGATAATGTAGTCATTCCTCAAAGAGCTAAGGACAGAAATACCATTTGACCCAGCAATACCATTACTGGGTATATACCCAAAGGAATATAAATTGTTCTGTTATAAAGACACATGCATGCATATATTTATTGAAGCACCATTCAGAATAGCAAAGACATGGAATCAACCTAAATGCCCATCAATGATAGACTAAAGAAAGAAAATGTGGTGCATATATACCATGGAATGTTATGCAGCCATAAAAAGAATGAGATTATGTCCTTTGCTAGGACATGGATGGAGCTGGAAGCCATTGTCCTTAGCAAACTGACATTTGTGATGGGCCCTGAGCATCCTTTCAACTTCTTGCTAGGTATGCCAAAAATGCAAAGTCCTGAATACTTTTTTTTTTTTTTTTGAGATGGAGTTTCGTTCTTGTTGCCCAGGCTGGAGTGCAATGGCGTGATCGTGGCTCACCACAACCTCCACGTCCTGGGTTCAAGCAATTCTCCTGCCTCAGCCTCCTGAGTAGCTGGGATTACAGGCACGCACCACCATGCCTGGTTAATTTTGTATTTTTAGTAGAGACAGGGTTTCTCCATGTCGGTCAGGCTGGTCTCAAACTCTTGACCTCAGGTGATCCACCTGCCTTGGCTTCCCAAAGTGCTGGGATTACACGCATGAGCCACTGCGCTTGACCAGTCCTGAATACTTTTTACCTTTGTTGTTTCTCAGGGTTGTGTTTGCAGTGAGCAACCCAAAGTGATGACATTATGTCTCTCCTTTGGACAAAATGCAGGGGTTCACTGTAGAAATGAATACCCCAGTTGTAGTGTTTCTCTCCTATAATGCAACCCATTACATGTGCAAGTATCAATCGAGGAGCCTCATATTTTCTGCCAGCATCCATTGAACAGTAATAGGCTATCTCATTACCTTGTAAGTAGGGTAAAATTGTAGATCCTTCACAGTTCTTGACAGTTTTGAAAATGAGTATAGGTGCAGGCTGTGTTAGTCGATATGAGAAGACTGCTCGGAATCTAATAGTGAACGGTTTCTACCCAGTGATGGACAGACCAGGGTGGGAATAAGGGTCCTCCACTTCTCTAGCTGTTAATGAGGCTAAGAATTGAAAAAAAAAATCCCAATGGTGCTTTGATTATTGTTCATTTACTTCTGGGTGGGAGGATGAAGGCATGTCATGATGGCAATGGGGTGGCAAGCCCTGGGGTTCCAGCCAAAAGGCAAGGTATGGTGTGAATGCTGAATCAAAGAACCGACAATACTAAAATACCATCAGCAGTGAGGATATAGAGCTTTGAGCAGAGCAAAACATTAGAAGTTAATTTGTTAGGCTTGAGCAGTTGTTCACTGGAAACCCAAAGTAAATATAAAGCTTTGGTGCAGAACTTAGTTCTCACTGCACTTCCTGATTATTCTCTTCCCCTCTACTCTGATCTTAAGTATTTTAAGAAAAAAATGAAATATGCTGGGAAATTTTGGGAAGAGGAGGGACTAAAAATTTTTATAGCTCTGTTGGATATAAGCAATTCATGATGGGCCCTGAGCATCCTTTCAACTTCTTGCTCGGTATCCCCAAAATGCAGTGTTTCCAAGTCACCATCTTACTTGATCTTGCAGATGTGGCCCAAAACATTGAGGACTGCAGGGTAAAGCTGCAGCAGCATGTGTGGGCACAAAAAGGGTCCCTGGGTCTGGGCCCTTGCTGGTCTCCAGAGGTATATGGGGAAGAGACAGCACCAACTCTGGGTGAAGAAGCCAAAGGAGAAAAAAATAAAAGCCTTCCTGCAACTCAGCCTTACAAAAAGTATGTACAAAAATCTTGCAGTGTACATCATATCTAAGGGTGAAAAAGTGAATGATTTTTCCCTAAGATCGTGAACAAGGTGGGCTGCCTATTCCTACAATTTCTGTTCAACATAGTACTGGAAATCCTAGCCAGTGTGGTGGGGGAAATAAAGAAATAATGGGCATACTGATTGCAAAAGTAGAAATAAAATTGTTCTTATTCACGAATGACATAATCATCTATGTATAAGGTCTTGAGGAATCTACATAAAAAGCTATTTGAGCGAATAAGGTCACAAGATAAAATATTAATTGTATTTCTGTGTACTAAGCAATGAACAATTGGGAATTAAAATTTTAGAATACCATTTACAGAAGCATACAAAATCATTAAACATGGATGGATAAATTAAATATGTGTAAAAGTACAATACTTTGTTGAGAGAAATAAAAGAAGATGTAAATAAATGAAAGATATACCATGGTCATGTATCGGAAGACTGAATATTTTACAGATATTGTGTTAGTTTTCTATTATTCTGTAATAAATTAACAAAAATTTCAGGACAACACAAATTTATTGTTGTATCGTTTCTGTGACTCTGGAGTTGAGGCTAATTTGTTGTTGTTGTTGTTGTTGTTGTTTATTGAGATGGAGAGACTCGCTCTGTTGCCCAGGCTGGAGTGCAATGGCAAGATCTCGGCTCACCGCAACCTCCGCCTCCCAGGTTCAAGCGATTCTCCTGCCTCAGCCTCCCAAGTAGTGGGGATTACAGGCAAGCGCCACAATGCCCAGCTAATTTTTGTATTTTTAGTAGAGACGAGGTTTCACCATGTTGGCCAGGCTGGTCTGGAACTCGTGACCTCAAGTGATCCGCCCACCTCGGCCTCCCAAAGTGCTGGGATTACAGGCCTGAGCCACAGCGCCCGGCTGCAAATTGGGGGTTTTAAGGGTAATCTGAGAAGCCAATCACATCCAGCTTACTAAAGTAGGACTATGGTAGAAACTTTTGGTTGTAAGATTAATAAGTTTTGGAGAGCTAATGTACAGCATGGTGACTATAGTTAATAATACTTTATTGTTTAGTTGAAAGTCAGTAAAAGAGCAGATTTTTGAGTGCCCTAACTGCACACACACACATGCACATATGTTACATATGGTAACTCTGTGTGGTGATGGATGTATTAATGAATTTGATTGTAGTAATCACTACGCAATGTATACCTATATCAACTCATCACATTGTACACCTTGAATATATGCAATTTGAATTTGTCAATTATACATCAAAATGCTGAGAAAAAGTAGGACCATGAAGTGGAAGCTCATTTAGAGGCCTATGGGAAGCTTTTGTCTCTGTGTATGGTATCACCTCTTTGGGACCTAGCTTTTGATTGTGAATCTAGAGCTGCTTTTGGTCAGCAGGGTCAGCAGTTGGAAAGATGAGCTAAATGCTGAGCAGAGGAAGTGATGACAAATTGGAATCTGTCAGGGACCTTTGCATCTGTTCATCACCATATTTGTGGTATATTTGTATTTTTCAAAGATGGATGCAATAATATATTCCATCTTACATGCTCTTCTGCAATATGACTTGCCACTCCCCCAACAAGAGGTAGAGTGTATTTCTCCATCCCATTGGGCCTGGAACTAACTGTGAATACTTTGACTAGCAGATGATGGTGTAAATGGTACAATACCAGTTCTGGGCACAGCACTTACCTGGCATGAAAATGGATTCCTGCCACTTAGAACACTCACTATTGGAATGCTTCCTCAAAGAATCCAGCTTCCATGCTGTAGAAGCCCTAGCCACATGATGAGGCCACATGTAAGTGCTCTAGTCTATAGCACCAGCTGAATTCCCAGCCAACATCCAACCATGTGCATGAACCATCTTGGAGGCCCAGTCCAGCTGACTATTTAGAGAAATCCAGCCCCCAGACACCATCTGACAAACTGTAAGACCCACTCAGCTGAACCTAGTCAACTCACAGAACCATTAGAGATAATAATAAGTTTATAAGCCACTAAATCTTGGGACAATTTGCTACATAACAATGGATAATCAGCAGTATCTGACCATGAAGACCCTCCAAGAATTATAGCCATTGTTTTACTTTTACCTCCTAATCACACAGTTTCTTCTAATATGAAACCATACAAATAAAGGGATTTCAGTAAATGTAGTTTTTGTTGGGAAAAGCTGAGTGTTGGGAGAGAAGCTGAGGCAGGGCTTGCATGTCTGACATAATGTAACAGAGTCTTGGAACATGTCCGGGGTCCAGGGTCTAAAACCCCTCGTGGCCTTTGGAACACCAAGCTCTGTGCTAAAGGGTGGAAGGCTACCCTGATGCACCATAATCTAAGCCCAGGGCATAAAACCCCTCGTGGCTTGGATAGAATCCAGGGCTCGTGGCTCTGGAATGTGTCTAGACTTGCTGGCTCCTTGCTTCTAGCCCTCTCAGGCTCCTAGATTGATTGTGTCTTAGAATTGGCCATATCAATGCTAAACCATCACAGCTGTAAATCATGTGCTTAATGCAACATATCCTTTCGACCCCCACATTTTCACCACCTGTTTCTTTGTCTGATCACTAATAAATCGTCTGGACTTCCAGAGCTCGGGGACTTTGCAGCCTCCATACTTAGCAATGGCCGCCTGGACCCACTTTCTCAAACTGTCTTTTCTCATTCCTTTGACTCCACTGGACTTCATCACCCCCACAACCTGGTGCTGGGTCCGATCACCCCAACAGTTTTGAGCTCAACACTCTAGTATAAAGGTAGACAATACAACATTCTAGTATATTTGGCTTGGCTGTATAACTTATGTTGTATATTGGAATGTGAGTGGACGTGGTGCAAGCAGAGGCTTTCGATGTACTTGTTTGTTCTTGTACTTCTGTTATCTTCCATGAAAAGAATATGCCCTGGGTAGCCTTCGATGCGATCACACAGTAATAAGATGCACGGGGCAGACTTGAATTCAACCCTTATTCTGGAGCCAAGCCTAGCCAAGCCCAGTAGAGCCCACAGAAACCACAAATGACTAAGAACAAGAAATAAATACTTGTAAGTCACTGAGATTTGGGGGGTTATTTGTTACATCCCATTATTTCAGAAATAACCATCCATTATAATGGGTAAATAAAAAAGAATCAAACATTTATTCTGCCTTTCTTGACGAAAGTACTTCAGGGTAACCAAATAGTTGATATGGAAAAGTTCTTCTTTATAGAGGAATCCCAGTTTATAAATGCAGGAAGGATGACAGGATAGTACCACTTTGCAAACTATAATGAAATGACAGCTATAGGCAAAGATCATCAAAAACTGCTAAAATTATTAGGTGAAAAGTTAATTGGGAAGTTTATAATAGATAGATCAGGGTGACAATACATGAACAAACTAATTAGTGTTAACCTAACAAAAAAAGAGAGACAACCAGACATATGTGCCTCCTGACGTGATGCAGTAGGAAGTATAAAGGACACCACGTATGATTTATTCTTGCTAAAATTTGCATTTGTATCTGATAAACCTCTACACCAACCTATAGGAAATACAGGGTCAGAGGAACTGGTGAGTGGTGATATCAGTTACTGAGTTAAGGAAGACACCTTGGGGAAGGAGCAATTAGCAAAATCCAGAGTGTGGGAAATTTTACAGGACAAACAACTGGTTCTTCCACAAAGACATTAAAAGGAAGGAGAAGAGAAGTGAAACCTATAATTAAAAGATTAAAGAGATATAATAATCGACTCCAATATATCCACCTTCTTTGGATCCTGATTCAAGCAAACAAACTGTAAAAAATGTAGGAGACAACCAGAGAAATTTTGATAGTAAATGGATATTATATGATATTAAGGAATACTTACCCTTAGATACAGTATCTTTAGATATGATTAAGGAATAGTTATCTTTAGATGTGATATTGTGATTATGTTTAAAAATTAGTCCCTATCTTTTAGAGGTACTTGCTGAAATATTTATGGATGAAATGATACATCTTGGTCTTATTTCAAAATGTGGGGTGGTAGGTGGTGGCTGTAGAGGGAGCACTATTGGCTAAAAACCTAGGTTTTTGGCTGGAGCAATTAGGTGCATGGTGATACCAGTTAGTGATATAGGAAAGCCAGAGAAAGAAACAGGTTTTTATCAGGCCAAGGGGAGTGTGGCAGATTACAAGTTCTGTTTTTGATACATTAGATTTGAAATGCCTACTAGACATAGAAGAATAGATACCAAGCAGATGGTTGGACACATAAGTCAGGTATTCAGCTGAGAGGTCAGATTGGAGATATGTTTTTGGATGTCACCAGATTCCATAGTTTACACACTCTCTATGTGATCTTATCTTTAATATGTCTTTAATATGTCATCTTTAATCTATTTCTTCAACACTTCCTAGATTAGGTAGATGCTATTCTGTTTTCTGCAGTTTCGCCCACTCCTAAAAGGAGTGTAAGTTTGTTCAGCTATTTTGGATGACAACTTAGCAATATGCCTTAAAATTAAAATGCACATCCCCAAGTGGCCAAGCAATTCCACTTCTCTGTGTCTACCTTAAGGTAATATTTGCACATGGGCAAAAACAGACATACACAAGGACTCTCCCACAGCCTTGTTTATAACAGCAAAATAATTGAAGCAACCTAAATGTCCATCAACATGGGAATGGCTAAATTAAAAATATTTCCATACTATGAATATTATGCAACAGTTAAAAAGAATGTGGGATAGCTCTATGTACTATAACTAAAAGGTCTTCAAGATATATTGTTGAATAAGGAAAGCAAGTTGCAGAGGAATACTTTTATTTCTATTTTATACCTTTAAAAAACCTGTATATGTGCACATGTGTATGCATATATTTGTATATATGTATAAAAATTTAAAAATACTTCAAATAATATAGAACAATCAGATAACATTGGCTATATTTGGGTAGGATACTGGGTTTGGAGGCTAATCAAGATAACTTTTTAGCTTTATAAGTAATGTTTTAATTTTATAATGAAAAGATATTTACATGTTACTTGTAAAAATCATCTTTTTTTTCTAATTTAGAAGAGTGGGAGTAATTACATGTAACCATCTTGAACCAAGTTATGCCAAACTATAGAGTGAAGTTATTAGTAACACCGGCTAGGGAGCAGGACTTCCTGGGTTTGAATCCTGGCTCTACAATTTAGTCGCTGTCTGTGCTTGAGCAAGATGCATACATTCTTTATCCTTCTGTTTCCTCATTTTTAAGATGAAGCTAACAATATTATTTACTTCAGGGGGTGTGGTAAAGTCATATATGCAAAAGGTTTAAAAGATTACCTGGTACATGGTAAATTATTACTGTCTTAGCTGTTTTTATTGTTATTATTTCCATTTCTTGATAGGCTTCTAGTTTGGTATATTAAATGTATTTGGATACTATTCTTGTGAATAAGATAATGAATGTGGGGCTGAAAAGTATTTTTTTTTTTTTTGAGACGGAGTTTCACTCTTGATGCCCGAGCTGGAGTGCAATGGCATGACCTCGGCTCACTGCAACCTCTTCCTCCTGGGTTCAAGCGATTCTTCTGCTTCAGCCTCCGGAGTAGCTGGGATTACAGGTGCCCACCACCACGCCCAGCTAATTTTTTGTATTTTTAGTAGAGACGGGGTTTCACCATGTTGGCCAGGCTAGTCTCGAACTCAGGTGATCCACCAGCCTCGGCCTCCCAAAGTGCTGAGATTACAGGCGTGAGCCACCGTGCCCAGCTGAATGGTATTTTTAAAGAAAGTCATAGCAGATTAATTCACTAAACACTTTGCATACTTATCATGTGCAATTGTGTCCAAATTGTTTTCCTTCATAGATTGCTAAATGTCTGAAAGGCCATATTGTGTCTTTCAATGGTTTTGTTAATTATTTGAAAGAAAGGAAAAGAAAACTGCGATGACATAAATCTTCAAGGGAATACAAATTCCATTGATGACATGTGGGGTTGAATTCAATAAAATGAAAGAGTATTTTTTCATAAAGTAAAAGAGTCTGAAATTAGATCTTAAAGTTTCTCTCATCCAACAGCTATTCAATGCTGTAATAAGCTCACCAGCATCCCAAGTAAGAATCATTCTATATCTTCTTAAGTGTTGTTTGAATGGGAGCCCATTACTTAATGAGGCAGACTATTCAATTGTTGGACAACTAGAACTGTACCTTATGTTGATGTTAAATAATCAGCTTCACAACTTCAACTGGTTCCTTTTGCCACTAAAGATACACAAATCAATTGTCTCTCATCTTTTACATGGCAACTTTTTGAATATTTGTAGACAATGGTCCTGCTACCCTGGAATCATTTCTTTCTTCAGGCTAAAAACTCCTGCACCTATTTGATTTCCCATCCTATCACTTTCCTTATATTCTGGACCAATTCCAGTTTAGTGGTGTTCTACTTAAACTGTAGGGTTTAGTATTTTTGTTGCTGGGAAAGTACATCTGCTATTGTGGCTCATCACTTTTGCACATACCAGAGAGAGAATCTGGAGCAGTTATTCTTCTAATGACCCCATATAATTAACCCGTGTGGTGTCTAATTAAAAATAAACATATATCAGGGTCCCTATGTTTCCCTGTGCAACTGTTCTAATTCACCTCTGTCCTCTGGCTACCATTTTACATAAGATATCCATAGGGCAGTTAATTTTGGAAACACATATGATAGAAAATGCAGTTCATTTTTTCCTTAATTTACTTTCAATCAGCACTCCTGGTAATCCCTAGGGAAAATTTTCTTGTATCTACTTATTCTTCCACCCCAACCTTAGGTATAGGCAATACTGAAAATTAAACCTATAAAATGACATGACCATTTTGACTTTAACCCCATCCTCAGACCTACCCAATTTATCCCTTTGAGCCTAGGTGACAGATATTCTCCTCCCCTGGAGGAAAACTTAGTCTAGTCTTTCTCAGAAATAGCATCCTCCCCTGGATTACAGAAATCCAACACCTGAGCATGCCTGAGCATATATCTTTAGGCATTTATGAACCCTTCGTTTTATATGGTTCTGACTCCTAGAGAACCTGGGATTTGCTTGTTTGTTAGGGTCACTGAATTTATTCTCTTTTTTCACTCTGGCCCTTTAAGATAAGTTTCAGCTGATTCCCATAAGGCTCACTGAGTAACTTACAAACGTTGGGGTTCCATCCTTGCATCTCTATTCTTCTCTATCTACATTCATTCCCCTCCCTCAATCAGTCTTATAGCTCTAAATACCATCTATATGCTGATAATACAAAATGTATATCTCTTGTTTAAATCTCTCCCTTGAATTCTGCCATCCACAGAGTCAGAATCATTTTAAGAACCGGCTGTCTTTAAAGTCATAGGATGGCTGATGGCACTCATCAGGACTATATTTTTCTTGTTCCTGACCAGTGGAAAATAAACTGCATTGTTTTCCACAGTCAAAATGTTATCATAAACTTTTTCTATAATAAATTATCATGCAGTTTTTTCTTTTAATCTGTTAGTTTAGTCAATTACCTTTATACGCCTTCTAATATTAAGCTACGTTTACATCCCTAACATAAAATGAACCATTAAATTCAGTTAGTAATATTTCATGTAGAACTTGTGCATTTATATTCATAAATAAAGTGGACATGTCATTTTCCTTTCATGTAATATCTTTGGTTTTCATATCATGATTATGCTGCTTTAATAAGTTAGAAGCTTTCCTTCTTTTCTATTGTTAGAAGAGTTTGATTAAAATTTAGATGATCTTCTCAAAATGTAGTTGAACTTGCCTGTACAAAAAAGGTGTTTTCTTTGTAGGACTATTTTAAAATACTGCTTTAATTCATTTTATGTTTCAAAGACTATTCAAACTCTTTATATGTTGGGGGTCAGCATTAGTAAGTTTAAGTCAAACTTCTTAGTTGCGATAAAGATATCTTATATATTCTTCTGAATTTTTTATTGCCTTGACCTAATTGAAAGAGGAGTATTAATATCTCTCTCTATGTAGTATGTTTGTTCATTTATCCCTGCAATTCTATCAATTTTTTGCTTCATATTTTTGAGGCTATTTATTAGGTACTAATATGTTTAAAATTTCTCTAACTTTGCAGTGAATTGAACATTTACCATTAGGTAGTGATCCTCTCTATACCTAATAGTATTTTTGTAGAAAAGTATGTTTTATCTGAAATTAATGTAGGTATACCAGTTTTCTTTTCCTAATATTTGCTTAATATGATTCTTTCCTACCCTTTTGTTGATTAAAACTCTTTTGTTGGGCTAAATTCTGGACATTCGATACTGTTATTGTTGACTATTAACAATTTAAATGTAACCTTCAAGTTAGCATATTTTGATCATTTAACCTTTAATTCTAGATATAAATTAATTCAGAGTAAGGCCAATTCTGCAGTCAGCCCATGACATATGTAGACTCAGCTACACACATTCATTTGGGGAGTGATACGGTTTGGATCTGTGTCCCCACCCACATCTCATATTGAATTGTAATCTCCAATGTTGGAGGTGGGCCTGGTGGGAGGTGATTGGATCATGGGGGTGGTTTTCTCATAAATGGTTTAGTACCATCCCCTTGGTACTGTGATAGTGAGTGAGTTCTCACAAGATCTGGGCATTTAAAAGTGTATGGCACCTCCCCCTTTTTGCTGTTGCTCCTGCTTTCACAGTGTGACGTGCCTGTTCCCCCTTCACCTTACATCACGATTGTAAAGCTTCCTGAGGCCTCCCTAGAAGCCAAACAGATGTCAGCACCACACTTCCTATAAAGTCTGCAGAACCATAGCAAGTTAAACCTCTTTTCTTTATAAATTACCTAGTCCCAGGTATTTCTTTGTAGCAATGCAAGAACTTCCTAATACAGGGAGTCAGTTTACAGTGGTCTCTAATCATTCAAGCCCACTGAGGGCAGTTTGTGTCATCCAACCTCTTTAGTACTACATATTTCTGCATTTAAATTGTGGATCTGAAACAATGACAGCACAGTGATTGTAAAGATTAAGAAAAAAACTTGAGTTATTTCAATTTCATAATTTTGTTTGGTCACTTGGAGTTTTGATATAAATAGACACTTCTCAAAAAAGATATACAAATGGCCAAGAAATGTATGAAAAAAATGCTCAACATAATTAATCATCAAGGAAATGCAAATTAAAACCATAATGAGATACCACCTTACCCCAGCCAGAATAGCAATTATTAAAAAGTCAAAAAACAATAGATGTTAGTGTGGATATGGTGAAAAGAAAAGGCTTAACACTACTGGTAGGAATGTAAATTAGTACAACCTCTATGGAAAACAGTATGGATATTTCTCAAAGAACTAAAAGTAGATCTACCATTCAATCCAACAATCCCACTACTGGGTATCTACTCAAAGGGAAAGAAGTCATTGTATCAAAGACACCTGTACTTGTATGTTTATCACAGCACAATCACAATTACAAAGATATAGAACTAACCTAAGAACCAACCCATCAACTGGTGAATGGATAAAGAAAATGTGGTATATATACACCATGGAATACTACTTAGCCAGAAAAAAAGAGCGAAATAATGTCTTTTGCAGCAACTTGGATGAAGTTGGAGGTCATTATTCTAAGTGAGGTAACTCAGGAATGGGAAACCAAATACCATATATTCACACGTACAAGTGGGAGTTAAGCGATGGGTATGCAAAGGCATACAGAGTGGTAAAATGGACATTGAAGACTCAGAAAGGGGGAGGGGGCAGGCGGATGAGGGATAAAAAAACTACATATTGAGTACAATGTGCACTACTCGGGTGATGAGTGCACTAAAATCTCAGAATTTACCACTATATAATTCATCCATGTACCAAAAACCTGTATATCCCAAAAGCTATTGAAATAAAAAAAAGTAAAAACATTTAAAAATCAAAGCAATAGAACACAGTATGAGCTGTGAGATAGACTATTTTTGCTAGATAAGTGAAATTTTTAGTTCACACATGATATGTTTTACTTCTTGAATATGTTTAAGATTGAAATTTAGTCTTTTAAAATCAATTTTTGGTTTAAAACTAAATAAAAACAAAATAACAATTTTTACAGGTTAGGTACAGATTATGTACATAATTATCATTGAAAATAATTTTCTCATACAAAGAAGGAGCGCATTTAAAAATGACTTGCTCCAGGTGATAATCTGAAGAAAAAAGTTTCTCTCTACTCACATACAGTTGTTTAACATAAAACTTCTGACACCAGATGTGTGTGGGGTTTTCCCTACACACCAAGCAATTCTCCAGTGGACACTAGGCTGGGTGTCCTACAATTTAATTCAGTTCTGATGCTATCTACCTGGAGTTAGCATCAGATCCCACAGGTTAAGGGCTCAGTCTCACAAGACTGCTCTACTTCGGATGCCAATTGCAAGCTCCAAGTTGTGACCCATGACTGATCAGCTATAAATCAGGAGTTCTCATGACACCCTCTCTGGGTTTGAGTAATTTGCTGGAGTGGTTCACAGCACTCAGGATAACACTTACTCTTTTGCTGGTTTATTACAAAGGATATTACAAAGGATACCAATGAAGAGATGCCTAGGGCAAGGTATTGGGGAAGAGGCATGGAGCTTCCTGCCCTCTCTGGGATTGTCATCCTCCAGGAACCTCCAGGTGTTCAGCAATCTAGAAGCTTTCTAAACTCAGTCCTTTTCACTTTTTATGGAGACTTCATTACATAGGCAGGATTTTTACTACTGGGTGCTATTTCATTGTATGGATATGCTACAATTTGTTCATCCATTTATTTGTTTTTTTGGAGACAGTCTCACTCTGTCGCCTAGGCTGGAGTGCAGTGGTGAGATCTCAGCTCACTGCAAGCTCTACCTCCCGGGTTCAAGTGATTCTCCTGCCTCAGCCTCCCAAGTAACTGGGATTACAGGCACCCGCCACCACACCCAGTTAATTTTGTATTTTTAGTAGAGACAGGGTTTCACCATCTTGGCCAGACTGGTCTCGAGCTCCTGATCTTAAGTGATTCACCCTTCTCGGCCTCCCAAAGTGCTGGGATTACAGGCGTGAGCCACCGCACCTGGCCTGTTTATCCATTTTATCTGTTGCTGGAAACTTGGGTTGTTTCCAAGTTAGGGCTAGTATAGATAAAGCTGATATATACAAGTACATATCTTCTTATGGAACTATGTTTGTATTTATCTGGAATAAATACCTAGGAGTGGAATCACAAGGTCATACGAAAAGCATATGTTTAGTTTTTATAACAAACTGCTGGCCGGGTGCAGTAGCTCACACCTGTAATCCCAGCACTTTGGGAGGCTGAGGTGGGTGGATCACCTGAGGTCAGGAGTTCAAGACCAGCCTGGTCAACATGGTGACACCGCATCTGTACTAAAAATATAAAGGTTAGCCGGGTGTGGTGGCGCACACCTGTAATCCCAGCTACTTGGGAGGCTGAGGCAGGAGAATCGTTTGAACCCGGGAGGTGGAGGTTGCAGTCAGCCGAGATCACACCATTGCACTCCAGCCTGAGCAACAAGAGTGAAACTCCATCTCAAAAACGAAAACAAACAAACAAAAAAAAAACCCCACACACAAACTGCTGAAATATTTTCCAAAGTGGTTGTACTATTTAATATTCTCACAGATAAGATGTGAGTTTCAGCTTCTCCACATCCTTAGCAATAGAGGGTATCATTACATCCTTTATTTTATCTATTCTACTGTTTTGTAGAGGGTGTTTTCATGTGCCTATTTGTTACTTGTATATCTTTTTTCTTCTTCCAATGACGGCAATACTGAATGTACATCTTTTATACAAAGAAGAAAATATACAAATGGCAATTATACAGAGGGCCCATTCAAATTTTTAGCTCACCTTTCCTTCTGGCTGTTTTTCTTTTATTCTTATTCCTATTCTTACTGTTATTACTACTATTGAGTTTTGAGAGTTCTTTATATACTTTGGATATAAATCCTTTGTCAGATAACTGTTTTGTAAACATTTTCTCACAATCTGCGACTTGTCTTTTTATTTTGACAGTATGTTTGGAAGAATAAAACTTTGACATTTTGATGAAATCAATTTATCAGTGTTTTTTCTTTTATGGCTTATGCTTTTTGTGTCCTAAGAAATCTACTTACCCAAAGGTTGTCAAGATTTTTCTCTTTTTTTTCTATTTTCCATTTCAAGTTAATTTTTATTTGCATGAAGTAAGTGTCAAGTTGTTAAGCTTCTTTTTTTTTCATATGAACATCTAGTTGTTCCTGCACCACCTGCTGTAAAGATTCTCCTTTTTCCATTTAGTTGCCTTGGCACCTTCATGAAAAATCAATTGACCATGAATATACGGGTCTCTTTCTAGATACCTTATTCTCTGCCATTAACCTATATGACTATCTTTTTGCCAACACCAAACTATCTTGATTTCTGTAGTTTTATAGTCTTTGGAACATATTTTTTTGTTTAGTTTTATTGTAACTTATGATGAGCAAAGAACTATATGCCTTGTAAAGTCCTTGGCTTACATTCATCCATAGTTCATGTCCTTAGACCAAGAAAAACCTTAGACCATATACTAAGTACTAGAACTTACTGAGCATCTCTGTAAATATTAGGTCAAGGAAAACAGGCGAAGGTTGACCAGACATTTTAGAAAGAAACAAATAATTTATTTTAGTTTCCTGATTTTCACCTGCTCATTTCCAGTTTTCCTAGTCCTGGAAACATACAGCAGTGTAAGTTAACACAGAGACAATCCAGGATTCCTTCCTTTCTACTTGATTCATTCTTTCTGTTCTTGCTATCAGAAGTTGGTATTTTTTAAACCTTAGGTCAAATACTTCTGTTCTCATCTCTCTTTATACTTTCCCTTCTCACAGCATCAACTATCTCCTTTATGTGCACGATTTCCAAGTCTATATCTCAAATCCATTCTTTCTATCTATATTTGAAAAGCACTTGTTCTATATTAACAGATTGACACTGTAATGATATAAAATTAAACATTTATAAATGGAATTCATTTTTAAACTAAATCTCTCACTTCTATTTTTTTTCCAATTTCATAATTCTAGTGACTTAAACTCCAACCTCTGAATTACATTTGACTAAATTATCTCTTTTTATATTTACCATGCCTATTTTTTTCTTTATCCTCATATTCACTACTTTGTGTATGGGTTCATGAAAACAATTTTAACTTGTATCCCTGCCTCTTTCAAGTATCATTCTATATATTATAGACAACTAATTTTCTAACAACTTTCATCAGGACATTTAAAATTATCTTCAATTTGGGTCCAATTCATTTTTCTAGTCCAAAAATATATTTTAAACTCTTCACTCCAGATAGAGCATCTCATTTACTTGATCAGTGCATTTTGCCCTCATATGTTTATTTTCATATATACCACTTCCTGTGCAATTATCCTGACACCTTCCTCTGTGTTTAGTAGTAAGTTTTGATCTCAAGTAGTGTATTACCAATTTGTTATTTTAGAAAATTCATTTTGATATCTAGATCCTTAGTATTTCTACATAAATTTTAGTACCAGCTTGTCAGTATCTTTCAAGTTAAATTTATGAATTAATATTGGGAGGATTGACACTACTGAGTCTTCCGAGCTATGAATATGATATATGCCTCCATTTATTTTTCTTCAATTTCTGCAGCAAAGTTTACAGTTTTAAATGTGCAGGTTTTCAATGTATTTTATTAAATATAACCTTAAGTAATCCATGTTTTTTGAATGTTATTTTAAAAGTAATTGCTTTTTATTTCAATATTCAATTGTTATGTGCTAGTTTATGGAAATGCAATTGACTTTTGTATGTTGGTCTTGTATCTTGTGACCTTGCTCACTTACAATTTTAATAGCCCTTTTGGAGATTCATTAGGATATTCCATGTACACAATAATGTCACTTGTGGATATAGTTTTGGTTCTTCCTTTCCAATCTTAATGTCTTTTATTTCTTATATGGACCTTATTGCAATGGCTGGGACTTTCAGTACAATGTTGGCTAGAAATGACAAGAGTGGACATACTTGCCTTGTTCCTAATATATTTTTAATTAAAAAAATTTTTTATGGGTACATAGGTGTATATATTTATGAGGTATATGAGATATTTTGATACACGCATGCAATGTGAAATAAGCACATCATAGAGAATGGGGTATCTGTCCTGTCAAGCATTTATCCTTTGAGTTACTAATAATCCAATTACGTTATTTAAGTTATTTAAAAATATACAATTATTATCGACTGTAATCACCCTATTGTGCCATCAAGTAGTAGGTCTTATTCATTCTTTCTACTTTTTTTGTACCCACTAACTATCCCCGCCTCCTCCCAACCCCCAGCTACCCTTCCCAGCCTCTGGTAGCCATCCTTCTTTCTATGTCCATTTATTCCTAATCTTAAGGGTAAAGCAGTAGGGCTTTTGTTGTAGGTGCCCTTTATCAGGTTGAGGAAGTTCCCCTAGTTTGCTAAGGGCTTTAAAAAAATTATTATTACAAATTGGCCTTGAATTTTTTTTGCAGATGCTATTTCTGCATCTATTAAGATGATCATATGGTTTCCCCCTTTATTCTGATGATATGGTGAATTTCAACAATTTATTTTCAAATGTTAATGTCTTTGTCCCTTGCATTTCCAGGATAAACTTCTCTTGGTAGTGATGCATTATCCTTTATATATCTTGCTGGATCTAATTTGTTAATATTTTGTTAAATACTTTTGTATTTTTGTTCATAAGGGATGTTACTCTGTAGCCTTCTTTTGTTGCAATAACTTAGTCTGCTTTTTAAATCAGAGTAAAACTGGCCTAAAAATTGAGAACTGGCCTAAAAATTGAGAACTGTCTCTTTCTTTTCTAATTTCTGAAATAATTTGTGTAAGATTGATGTTACTTTTTCCTTAAATGTTTTATAGAATTCACCAGTGAAACTATCTGGCTTAATGGTATTTTTAATGGATTATGAATTCAATGTCTTTACAAAATATGCTATTTGGATTTTCTATTTTTTGAATAAATTTTGGTCATTTGGTCTTTCAAGGCAATTGTCAATTTCATTTAAGTTGTAAAATCTCTTGGCTTAAAATTGTTCATAGTATTTCCTTATTACACTTTTAATATATGTAGGACCCATAGTGATGTTCCCTCTTTCATTTCTAATATACGTAATTTGTGTCTTCTCTCTTTTTTTCTTGATCAGATTAGCTATTTCCAAATAGCTCTTGGTTTCACTGATTTTCTCTCTTGTTTTTCTATTTTCAGTTTCATTTATTCTCTTTGTTATTACTTTCTTCCTTCTACACTTTGGGTTGATTTTGCTCTTATATTTCTAATTATTAAAGTAGAAACTTACATTGTTGATTTGAATCCTTTCTTCTTTTCTAATATAAGCACTTAATACCATACATTTCCCTCTAAAGGCACTGCTGTTAGCTACACCTCACAAGTTTTCTTTTTCTGTAAATTTAACCAAAATCTCTCATTTCTAATTTTTTCAAATTTCATACTTCTAGTGACTTAGACTCAAGCCTCTGAGTGATATTTCTCTCATTTCTAATTTTTTGAATTTCATACTTGTAGTGACTTAGACTCAAGCCTCTGAGTGATATTTGACTCAATTATCTCTTTAGATATCTACCCTGCCAATTCCTTTATTTTATCCTCATATTCACTACTTTGTGATTATAACAAAAAAGTACAATTTTGTTAACATGGATACATTGTGTACTGATGAAGTCTGGGTAGCCACTCTCCCACATATTTCTTTTTAAGAGATGGGATTTCACTATATTGCCCAGGCTGGTATTGAACTCCCGAGCTCAGTTGATCCTCCCACCTTGGCCTCTCAAAGTGCTGGGATTACAGGCATGAGCCACTGTGCCCAGTCCTCCCACAAGTTTTGATATACTGTGTTTTCATTTTCATTCCATTCAAAATATTTTCTGAATTAACTAGTGATTTCTTCTTTGACCCATGTGTTATGTACAGATATGTTGTTAATTTTCAAATATTTAGAGATTTTTCAGATATGTTATAGAATCTTAATTCAATTCCATTGTGGCCAGAGAATATACCTTGTATGATTTTGCTCTTTTTAAGTTTATGAGACTTGTTTTGTCATCCAGAATATGGTCTATTTTGGTGAATGTTCCATGTGCGTTTGAAAATAATGTGTATTTTGCTGCTGTTGGGTGGAGTTTTCTATAAATGTCAATTAAGGCATGTTGGTCAATAAGGTTCTCCAAATCTTTCATATTCTTACTGATGTTCTGTCTATTTGTTCTATCAATTACTGAGAAGAGTGTTGAAATATCCAAGTCTAATCACGTTTTGTTTATTTCTGCTTTCTTTTCTGTCAGTTTTTGCTTCATGCATATTCAATCTATTAGGTGTATGCACATTTAGAATTTCCACGTCTTCTTGGAGAATTAACTTATCATTATGAGATGTTCCTCTTTATTCCTGAAAAATATTTCTTATTCAGAAGTCTACTTTATGTGATATTAGTATAGTCACTCTAGCTTTCTTTGGTTTACTTTTTGTATTGTATATCACTTTCCACATATTTCCTTTTAACTTATCTATGTCTTTATAATAAAATTATAAATAAAATTGGGTCTTACTTTTGCATCCAAGAGAGGAGAAGAAAAAATTTTTTTTTGTAATGTAAGGAACTCCCATTTGAAAGTAAAAGTAAATGAAGTCAAGTGAATATGTTTTCCAAGATGAATCAACCCTGCCTAACCCAGCATGATATGACAAAGGTAGGCAGTAAGGAAGAATTAACAGTATTTCTGAGTATTTTGGCATTGACTGAAAAAATGTATGACTTTCAAGTGGTATATAACATAAATTTAAAATTTTCTAGCCAACAGCTTAGGCACATTTTATAATAGGATTGCAATACAGAGTGAAGTATAGGCTTAAGTAATAGACATAATTAAAATACATACATCTCTCAATTTTTAAGTCAGTATAAAGGAGCAATTACATTGATGATTCATAATGAAAAATAATCTGAAACTTATTTTTCTCAGTAGAATACACTGTAGTACATCAATATGTGCTTCCCCCTCAATAACTTTATATGATATGCCAGGTAGTGAACATACAGGAATTAACAACACAATAATTATTCCTGCCCTTATAAAGTTTATATTTTAGCAGAAGACAGAAATAAATCTGTAATTAAATAATTAGTAGTGTAGTCAGAGATAGCACCAAGTGCTATAGAAGTGTATAACGAAGGACATAATCTAGTCTTCAAGGGAGCAAAACAAAAGGTTTTCCTGAGCAAGTGATGGTTAAGAGATGTAAAGAATGAGCAGAGGTAAGCTATGTAAAGGGGTTTGCTCTGATAGACCAATATAGGCAAATTACCTGAAGCAGGATAAAACTTTGTATGTTTAAGAAAATGAAAGAAGGATAGTATACTTGGAATACAGTGAGGAGGAGAAGGTAGAATATGAGGTAGGAGAGAAGTAGGCAGAGGCCTGGCAATATTAAGAAGTTTGATTTAATAATTAGGGAACTACAAATAGCAATAGAGAGTAAGACAATGACATAATAAAATTTACATTTAAAAATATTATTATTTGCTATGTGGAGAAAATATTGGAGTGGGGATAAAAGGTTTTATGAGGAAACTAGTTAAGGAGCTATTGGAGCAATACAATAAGGCATTGTTAATAGCTTTTTGGTTAATTATGATTGTGGAGATGTAGAAAAGCTAATGAATTAGAGAGATTCTCAAGAAAGAAGAATTGACAGCACTTTTTGATTCATTGCATATAGGAGATGAAGAGACTGAAGATAGGAGGATTCACAAGCTTATGGCTTGAGCATTTGAGTAGATAGTAATAACATTTATTGAGTTTGAGAACCATCAAAGATGAGCAGATTTGAGGAACAAAGTTAATTAGTTCAATTTTGAATGTGTTGAACTTGAGGTATCTATAATATATGTAGATATAGACTATGCAATTGGATACAGCACTGAGCTTAGAAAAATGGGGTGTGGCTGAGCGCGGTGGCTCAGGCCTGTAATCCCAGCACTTTGGGAGGCCGAGGCGGGCGGATCACGAGGTCAGGAGATCGAGACCATCCTGGCTAATGCGGTGAAATGCCGTCTCTATTAAAAATACAAAAAAAAAAAAAAAATTAGCCAGGCGTAGTGGCGGGCGCCTGTAGTCCCAGCCACTCGGGAGGCTGAGGCAGGAGAATGGCGTGAACCTGGGAGGCGGAGCTTGCTGTGAGCCGAGATCGCGCCACTGCACTCCAGCCTGGGCAACAGAGCGAGACTCTGTCTCAAAGAGAAAAAAAAAAAAAAAAAACAACCCCATCAAAAAGTGGGCGAAGGACATGAACAGACACTTCTCAAAAGAAGACATTTATGCAGCCAAAAGACACATGAAAAAATGCTCACCATCACTGGCCATCAGAGAAATGCAAATCAAAACCACAATGAGATACCATCTCACACCAGTTAGAATGGCAATCATTAAAAAGTCAGGAAACAACAGGTGCTGGAGAGGATGTGGAGAAATAGGAACACTTTTACACTGTTGGTGGGACTGTAAACTAGTTCAACCATTGAGGAAGTCAGTGTGGCGATTCCTCAGGGATCTAGAACTAGAAATACCATTTGACCCAGCCATCCCATTACTGGGTATATACCCAAAGGACTATAAATCATGCTGCTATAAAGACACATGCACACGTATGTTTATTGTGGCACTATTCACAATAGCAAAGACTTGGAACCAACCCAAATGTCCAATAATGATAGACTGGATTAAGAAAATGTGGCACATATACACCATGGAATACTACGCAGCCATAAAAAATGATGAGTTCATGTCCTTTGTAGGGACATGGATGAAATTGGAAATCCTCATTCTCAGTAAACTATCGCAAGAACAAAAAACCAAACACTGCATATTCTCACTCATAGGTGGGAATTGAACAATGAGAACACATGGACACAGGAAGGGGAACATCACACTCTGGGGACTGTTGTGGGGTGGGGGGAGGGGGGAGGGATAGCACTGGGAGATATACCTAATGCTAGATGACGAGTTAGTGGGTGCAGCACACCAGCATGGCACATGTATACATATGTAACTAACCTGCACATTGTGCACATGTACCCTAAAACTTAAAGTATAATAATAATAAATAAATAAATAAATAAAAAGAAAAAGAAAAAGAAAAAAGAAAAATGGTGTGTGCTAGAGATACAAATGTGGGAGTCATCAGTATAGTTGAAGTCATAAGAGTGTAAATTCCAGAAGTAGAGAAATGAAGAAATGGTTCTTGGGGGCCAGGGAAGAGTTTTGGGATGACATTTCTTGGGAAAAGTGTGTAGACTTGTAAAACAAAAGGGACAGGAAGAGTCCTGAGTACTTCAATATTTAAAGGCCAGATAAAGGAAAAAAAACTAGAAAAAGAGACTGGGAAGTAACCACATAATTAGGAGGGAAAACAGGAAAATGTAGCTTAATTGAAGCCAGGAAAGGAAAGAACTTAAAGGAGGGAAGGGTCAATTATGTTGAAAGCTGCTGATAGATCTAGTAAAAATTTTAACAATGCATGTTTAATTTCCATGCACACATTCTAAATTGATATAATTAGCAAACAAGGTGATATTGCAGAGTGCAGAGAACATGGTGTTTGAGACAAACCTGGTTTTAAATCCTAGGACTTCTTTTCACTTGTTAGTTTCATTGCCTTATGCAAGTAACTTTCCAAAGCCCCTGTTTCCACATCCATTGTCAATAGTGATAAAATTTCTATATCATAAAGTTGTCATGAGGATTAAATGTTAATTTTATGCCTGAAACATAGTAGGAACTCAATAATTGTTATCTCTTATATTCATATGGTAGTTGTTTCCAAATGTATTCTTCTAGAAGTATTTTTTACAGTAAAGAGACCCAGTGAACTTGCCTTTCTTATATAATTGGCATTCTTGCTAGCATAACTGTATGGTTTCTCTAATCATGATAGGTATCACTTTAGAGGAAAGATTCTGCTGGTGTTTTGCTTTTCTCCAGTTTATACTTTCTGCCAGAGAGAGATATCACACATTTCCAATTTCAACCAACACTTCCTATGAAGATGGTACTCAAATCTTCATCTCTCTGGAGTCTAGGCTGCATTGGGAATGAAATGAAGCCATATATGGGAGAATGAACAGTCTCCACTGGAGAGTACTGAAGGGGAAGCATTGTAATCCCAGTTAATTCCAAAAATGGAGAAATGAAAGAAGTAGAGTTTCCAGGGGCAAGAGAAGAGTTTTGGGAAGGAACAGACTGGAGCAGTACATACAGCAATGTCTGTCTGGCACATAAGAGACATTTGATCAATATTTGCTGACTTTAAGAAAGACCATTCCAATTTAAACTCCCACATATTAACTTATTTATTCAACAGTAACATATAATATAATCAGGTAGTAAGAATTCCTATGAAGGAAAATGAACCAAAACAGGAGGATAAAATGATGAGCAATGCTGATTTAGGGTATTCAGGGAAAGCCTCCTTGAGGAAGTGACATTTGAGTGAACTCCTGAATTAAGTGAGAGAGCTGGCCATGTAAATAGCAGGGGAAGAGTATGTAGGGCCTTATAGTCATAACTAGATGAGTCTGGTTCTAAGTTAATTGGAAGATCACTGGAAGATTTTATGCAGAAGAATGACAAGATCTGGCTGGCCTTCATCTTCAGAACAATCATCGCAGTTTCTCTGTTGGGATTAGACTTTGGGATTAGTGGAATCAGAGAGCTGCTGCAATTATCGAGGGAGGAGATAATGGTAGATCAGAACAGGTAGTAGCAGTAATGATACTGAGAAATAGTCAAATTCTGGATCTATTTTGAGGGTAGAGCCAACAGGATTTCTTGACCGATTGACATGAGAAAAAGATAGAAGTGAAGGATACCTCCAAATGGTCAGCTTGAGTCTCTGAAGAATAGAATCATCATTTACTGAGGTGAGGGAAAACTCAATGACATAGAAATCAAGATTTATCTGTTAAACATGTTGTTTTATATTATTATTAAGCTCGTAGGTAGAGATTTTAAGTGAGCATTCTGGAATTCAGGGGAGAGATTGGGCTAGAGCTATAAATTTTGGAGTTGTGAGTACATAAATGGTGTTTAAATCAA
This sequence comes from Homo sapiens, assembly GCF_000001405.40. Taxonomy (NCBI): domain Eukaryota; kingdom Metazoa; phylum Chordata; class Mammalia; order Primates; family Hominidae; genus Homo; species Homo sapiens. The sequence goes on along the minus strand of NC_000024.10, from coordinate 56,971,335 downwards.
GGATACTAGATGAGATCACCACAAGAGTGAGTGTAGATGGAGAAGAGGACTAAGAACTGAAACTTCAGGCACACTAATATTTACAGTTCAGGAAAATGAGGAAGAACTATCAAAGGGCTTGGAGAGGGAGCGATCAATGAGGTGAGAGGAGAATCAGCAGAGTGTGGTGTGCTGTAAGCCAAATAAAGAATATATTTCAATATGGACCGCCTTTTTGTTCAGGCCATGCTGCAGTAACTACATGTAGGTGTAGCTTGATGCTACCTCATTCAGCTTTATCTCATACTATTGCTTCCTGCTGTGGGGCTTCTCTGCCACCACCATGTGGATCACCTGAAGGACCCTGCTCAGTGAGTCCAAATCATGTGCCAACTTGCAAGTGCCAGTGAGTAAACACCCTCTAGGATTACACTTAATTAATGGGAGATGAGATTTGATAGAAAAACACTCTCCTCTTCTATGTCTGATGGAAAATTCTGGGGCGCATTCTACATGGCTCCTTAGAGAGTCCTCAGTGGGAATAATCTTCAGTGGAAATAATCCTCAGTTGCCTATAGTAGTAAACAGATCAATAACATGCCCTTGGACTGATGTTCCTTCCTTTCCTGGCTCACCTTTCTCAGTCCCTTCTCCTGTTTTCTGAATCACTTCCCTCAAATAAACTAACTGCATGCGGCTCATTGTCTCAGGTGGGGGTAGCTGTTAATGTAGACGGCACGATGGACTGGTACAAATGCTAGTGATAAACTGAATAAGATGACTGAGAATTGACCATTGGATTTAGCAAAGGTAGGATCATTGGTGACATTGAAAAGAGCTATTTTGGTGAGCATTGGTTTAAAAGCTTGGCTAGAGTGAGTTCAAAAGAAAGGCTATTTTCCAGTGATATATTGCAAGGTCATAGGATGGGAGTGAGGCATGGAGAGGTGGGGTATTGAGGTGTGATGAGAGAGAAGTGTGAAGCAGTCCTTTTAAAGAGTTGATTTGAAAATAAACTGAAGAGAGAAATAAATAATACCCGGTGGTACTAAGGGCACGCTTGAATGTACCGTTTTGTGTTTTTCTCCAATCACATTCAGCTGTTTAGATGAAAATGTGGAACAAGTGATTATACTTAAGGTTCAGATTTTGTCAGGCAAGTATGCTAGAGGGAGAGAGGGAATGTAATCTGGGTAACAAGGGAGGTTCAGAGTTTGGGGGTATGATGGATAATAAACAATTGGGGATTAAACATCATATTAAAAATTATATACAAGTCATGTCAAGATACGCTCTCAGAGTGTAAGGAGGCACTATTAATAAATATTTTAGAAACAGGTATTAGCTGAGACAGTCCTGGGCAAATCGGGATGCATTATAATCCTATTAATGTAGCCATTTTTGTACTGAAAAGAAGATTGCAGTAGTTAAGAGCACAAAATCTTTAGAGTCATGGTTCCTGGGTTCAAAACTAGGCACAGAAAAGCTAACTTGCTAAAGGTGGAGCTACAATCCTTTAGATGAAACCCATCAAGCATGGCTCCCTGCATTGCACACTCTCTTGTATATTATCTATATCTTCTGATTCTAAATTCAGTGCTGCTTTTGGACTTCAGGTATGCTCTAGCCTCTTATGCAGTAATTACTGTTTATTCTCCTTCTTGGCTCCAGTCTCCATCCTGTTTATCTGAAGTGCTCTTGAAATAGATTTCAGTTTCTTCAACTATTAACACCTACCACAACCAAATTTGACCCTTCCTTCAGAACTACAGATTGAGTCTGATTTTTCATTCTGTTCACCTGCACTTTATGCAGCTCATACCTACGCTCTTGTGCTAATTGTTGTGAGGCAAAGTATACGAACTTCTTCGGCGGTGTAATTACCAGCAAGGAGCTCTTTGGGTCTATATTTTCTAGGAAATCATAGGCCCCTACATGGCCTCTAAACAACCCAATTTTTCCTGAACATAGGTCATCACCTCTTAATTACCTGAAAAGAAACCCCTGCCTGAGATGAATCTGAATTATAAATATTTGTCATTATACTTTTAGGCCTCTTGATTTACAGTAATTCATTGTCTCTCTACCCTCCCCTTAAAAGGGAGGTATTTCAAGATGAAATGAGAATATATTTACCAAATAGATTTTTAAAACTTACTTGTAATGTGATATATAGAATTACCTAGTTTAATCATGGCATGTTTTACATTTTTTAGTATGGTTCAAATAAGAAGATAAAGAAGTGCTTTATTAAATACATATATTTTTGTATTTAAAAATAACTTTCAAATAAATACTTAAAAATCATTGGCAAAAATGAATGATGAATTAGGAATGTATATTATAATTTCAAAATAAGGAAGACATAAGAGGCCCATTTTATAAATGGTACAGAATTTTATTTTTAACAAATAAGTAGCCAGATGTATGACTCCTAGGGGGGTAGAAGTGGCCCTCTCTGGAAATTCATAACATCCAGGATGGATACGATGGGATTGGATATGGATATCCTGTTCTGGGGCGCTGGAGTTCAAGAAATGTGTTTCTTGTGGTTACAGATTATTCTGGGAGTACTAGATCCTCAAATAATCTATTTCCTCAGATGCTCCAAGTCAGAAAGCCCCTTTCCTCCATTCTGGCTTCTACAAAAGAAGCTCCTCCTAGTGGGCAACCCTCCCCCTTGGCTTTCCATGGGTAATGCCTTTCAGAAGACACGTCCTTTTTTGACCTTCTCCCTTCAACCAGGACCAGCCTTGGGAATGAGATCTACGAGTTCCATTGAAACCCTGGGCTAGTTCAGTACTAAGGCCATGTTGTGGTTGACTGAGTATAAGAAATCCAGATATCCCACTGCTTTTATATTCCTCTTGATCCCTATTCCAGCAAGGGCAAGAGAAAAATGTATGACCTTTTTCCTCAACTGCTAATTTTGATTGTCACTGAGGCCAACCTCAGATTAAAGGCACATACGACCTACACAAGTGTTCAATCTTGTTACATGCTATCAGGTAGACACAATACCTAAAAGATTGACTAAAATAAAAACAACTTTTATTATGTTGTTTTAGAGACTTAGCCCCACATATATGTTATACATTAATTCCCTTGCATTTGTATAGAACCTTGTACATTAAGAAAAATGCTTCTGCTTTAATGATTCTCATACACTCTCTAGGCTTTATTATCGTCATTTTACAGATGAGAAAAGCAAAGGCTCAGAGGGGGAATAGGGTAGAGATAGAAGCAGTGTAGTATAAAGACAAGAATTCTGGCCTAGGAGTCAGCAGACCTGGATTCTTATCCTGACTTGGTCACTAACTCACGGTGTGGTTATGAGTAAGTCACTTTCCCTCTCTTAGCCTCACTATCTGCATTTATGGAATAAAGTGATTCAATTTTCTCAAATCTGTTTGCATATTATAATCATCTGGGAACTTTAAAAATCCATTCCTCAACACCTCCAAAGATTCTGACTTAATTGGTCTCAGGGTACTGTGATTTCTACAACACCACTTTGACTCAGAAAAAACCAATCCAGGGAAACCACAAATCCAGTCTGGTATTTCTCTCTGAAGGAGAGAAACCTTGTCATTTGATATAAGATCTAAGTACTATGGAGCATGTCCTAGAAGGGAGTTTGAAAGGCAGATAGTGTTAGTGGCATATTCTAACTTTGAACCTCTAGGAGAGAGGCCAAGTCTCCACCCATCTCTCTCTCTCTCTCTATCTTTCTCTCTCTTTCTTTCTTCTGCTGTCTCCCTTTCTCCTCCCCCGACCCCCCACCCCATAGAATCATTCCAGATGGAGAGCTATAGGAGTTTGGAAAAGAAGAGTGTTGATATAAGTCAAGGACAAAATAGAGTTAAAGGGTACAACTGAACCAAGTAGTTAGTAAATGGTGTTTTAGGTGAGAGAAACACACTGATTATAGAGCTTTTTTTCTTTCACATACATCATTTTCTTAACCTTTGTTTTTCTTTCTGGATCCACATTTACTATTACTTCCCATTACTTTTTTCTTTCTTTCTTTCAATATGGTTTATATATTAAGAAAGGCCTGGGGCCTTCTCCTCTTTGGGAGGTCTTCACCTCCATTAAGAAAAAAATTCACGAGTAAAGTTGTTTAAGCCAACTAATCTCTAGAGTAAAAATGAGTATTCCCCAAACTAATTCTGTTAAGCCTTGGTGTGTGAATCCCCATCCAAGGACACATGATTTTCTATCCAAGACTATAAAGCTGAATATCAGAGTCTTTTGGAAACTTCATATAAATACTTTTCTATATAAAGAAATGCATATATGAATAACTAAATAATTGGTAGATATTAAAAAAAATGACTGTCCCTTTCCTTGCAGTTTCTTTGTAGTGTTTCTTTTTGTTATCAGAGTGGTAAGACTTTGAAGATGAGGATTAAAGTACTCTAGGCCTTAGGACACAGGTTCAAAATGACTCTTCAGGGTTCACATATGGTCAACCCCATCTTGTTACAAGAGAACATACCTGTGGCTTGCCTACATTACCACTTCTGTGTTCAGCAGTTTAGTTAGTTCTTCAAGGACCTGGGAGCTTCCAGAGCCTTGACATCTCTGTCTTTTACCATCAGAGGGATGACTATTACCTGGTATGGTCAAAAGGATTGCCAGGTTAGTTTGGGAATGACAATGTGTGGGTTAGAATTACCTTCTTCTTTTTCAGGAGATTGGCCAACAAATACATATGGGAGCAAACATATATAACTTGGATTGTAATGACAGCAAGATTCCTAACATTAGTCAGTGTCATTCCCAAAATGCCTTTCCTTATCTTGTCCATCCTGGCCTTTAACAGCAGCAACACTGGTAGTGTCATGATCTTATCTTTGAGAGTGAAAATAAGGATATGGGCCTAAACTAGGATAAAGGGACCAAGAATTTCAGTCCTACAAAATCTTATCAAACCTTCGGCCAAAGGTCCAAATGGGGCACTAATGCTTTTGCTTTATGTGACAATGATCTATAGGACACAGGGAACTATTGTATATGTGAATAAAAGGTAGCATAATTCTTATAATGTGTCTGTGTCATAATTAGTGGCTGAAATATTTTTTAAAAAGCCAGCCAACCAACTCATTGCTTTATTTTCATGTTACAGAATACCTTGTTTAGCCATTTTTTCCCCAGCATTTATTGACTTAACCAGTTTTCCTGCTATTATGCTCATGGAACCTAAAAGAACATATGTGCCTTCACATACATATTTTGACTTACACATGCTTTTTGAGGAGTTCAATAATATGAAATTCCTTTTTATATTAAGAAGAAAGATATTTTGAGAGTTTGTTACTCCTTTAATTGAACAGGGAATTAATTTCCATATAAAAAAGAAGCCCTTTAAAGCAAGCTAGAGAATAAATAGGTTCAGGAAGGCAAACATAGTACAGTTCTAAGAGCCACAATAAAGCTTTATTTACTTTAAAGGTGGTAGGTTATCTCTAACTTACTTCGAAGGAATGTGATTAAAGACATAAGGTAAAAGCACCACCCTAGTGTAGCACTTTAAATTTAATCTCCCTATATTCATATACTTGCCTTACTGTTTATAGTGGAGCCACAATCCTTCCCATTATTGCTGAAGCATGAAATGCCAAGGTACATATTTAAGTGCCCATCACGCACTACCCAAAAATGTAGAAGGGTAAATATCACATGGGGAAGAATTTGACTAATGAGATGAGAGCTAGCAGATGAATTCACCTCCTTTCCTCCACCACGTGGGCTGTATGGAGATGTAGTAGTTTTATATGGTCTGTCACAAAAAATTGCGAAATTAGCTTGCCAAGGAACAGACTGTGGCCAACTCAGTGACATGCTTTTTATTTGTTCTTCTTTCTTCCCTCCCTCATTAACCCTTTCCTTACTCATACTACCCTGGATCGTACATAGCTTTTGCTTCAAACTCTATTTTTTAAGAAACTGAGGCTAAGATACCTGGAAATTAGGAACTCTGGTATAAAGTCATAATTCCACTCAATTTTCAGAACTGTGTGACTTTGGACAGGTTATTTTCCCTCTCTGTGCATCCCTTTCTCCAGCTATAAAATGTTGACATTGGACTAGATGTTCTTTAAGGGTCCTTTGGCCAAGTTAAAGGATTCAGTGTGAAGGAGCTGTTGGTAAAATGTGTTATACGGACCAGTGGTCATCAGTGGTTTGCTTACATTTGAATCAGAAGAGCGCTCTCAATATAATCAATAAGGTTGAATGTTAACAGCTCTAACAAATCTTAAGCTCCAAAAATAGTCTCAGTTATACTTTGTTCAAAAAAAAATTGAATTAGTTTTCCCTGGCCAATAAAGATAAGGCTAATAAACGCTTACCCTCTTTGGCACAAGTGAAAATACTCCCTTAATAGCTCTACATCATAAGCTAAGAAATGGTAACTGGCTGCAAGCATGTTTTCAAAGGGAATAGTGGAAAAGTTTGTAATGTCACCATTTTGGGAGCAAGACAGCTAATATATGATGCCTGTAACTATTGCTTTACTCTTAACATAGCAAGATACTTATTTTAACTCCTAGGTTGCAGGTGGACCAGAGTTAGGGAAAGAATTATTCACCATTTGAGGCTTGTTACTCCAGAATGGTTTACACTGTGCTCCAGCCTTCTATATCTGACTCTGGAGCATGGACCTGGGAGTCAGACACCCTGGGTTCAAATCTTAGCTCTACCATTTACAATTGTTACCTTTTGGCAAGTCACTTAACTTCTCTGTGCTTCAGTTTTCTCATCTGTAAAATAGAGGTTGGAATGATACCTATGTTGTAGAATTGTGAGGAATGAATGAGCTAATATAAATAACATGCTAAAAATAGTGCTTAGCATATAGTAAGCACTATGTAAGTATTCACTATATTTATTATTGCTATTGTGATTAGGGAAGATGGGCTGGAACCACAGGAAAACTCTTGGCTGATATCATATGAAATGTATCAAGGAACCAATATGTGGAAGGCAGTAGAGTTAGGGGCTAACAGATGATTTAACTGCAAAAAAATGCTAAGCAGGAAACACCCTCTAAATATTCCTGTTTATACAGGACATGACACAAAGTAGAAAAATAATGAAAACAGAGCCTCCCTGCAGGATTTAGAGTTCTTTCGTATATATTTTAAATATACATGTGCAATACATTAAAATATATAGAGATGTGTGAATATATATAATCACAGAAGGGATACATACGCACACTCACTCACACGTCCATGCGCATATCCCAACAGGACCCATCTATACGTAAAGCAGATGCAGTCCATATCAGGCCAACTTGGACACAAGTGAAAGCCCTGACTCAACAGCAGATTGCAGATTGCAACTGTATTTGAGTAACCCTTCAATTTCTTCTACCAAGTGTAAGGCCATTTAGAAACACACTGAGAAAGGCTCCTCTGGGTATATGGCAGAACCCAGGGCCCCTCTGGCAGTGCACAATTTGCCTGAGTTAGGACTGCAAGATTGGGATATCAAGGAGCTATCAAGGAGGAGGGGCTCGTGTTATTTTGGGGCCTGAAACTAATAAGCAAACATCCATAGAATAATTTAGCTCCAGGAACAATGCACTAGTGTCAGAGAATCCTTAGATAACTGAGCTCTAAGCACATTTCAGGCAGAAGCAGAGAAGTGTGTGTTGCTACTCATCACCATCCAGCTTGACCCAGAGAACTGGGCAGAGCTTTTCAGGGTAGATAAGTGTAAAGTACAATCAAGCAGACTTGTAAGATTAAAAAGTTACTTAAAATTGAAGGATCTGAAAGCAACATAAGAGGTTACAGGTATTGGTTTGGGTTTATAAATGTTCCAAGAAGCCTAACCTTATATATGGCACCATTTGCAGCAATATCATTAACATTATTAATAATCATCATAACATATTTATATATACAAAAATAGAGCAAAGCAATTCTAGAAGAGGAGGTGTAAGTGAAGGTGTGGGGCTCTGTGCAGCCCAAATGTCAGTACACTTCAGGAAGATTCAGAACCAACAAAAAGTGAGTGGCACATATTTCTGTAATATGTATCCAACAAAGGGACATGGAGGTCCCCTCTTCCCCCCGTGTACTACTATACACTTCTCCCCACTTCTCCACCCTGCAACACACATCCATGCACACTCTAGAAGAGATGATCTATAAAGTTAGAGTCTGGAGGTCTTAAACTAAGTTGGAGCACCTTGATTTCAAGCAAGTGCCCTCAATCTCTGAATTCGTCAGTGAATTTTGGATTCACTTATAGAGGGAAACTGTATAATTCTTGTGTCTTTTAGCAGCAGTCTTTAGGAGCCTGCCATCACCACTGCAGCTTTTTCCCATTGAAGGGGGTTCACAGCACAGGCTCTCTGTACTTTTTAAGAGAGAAGTCAGTTCTCTACATTATACATCTTTCATCTCAGTTTTTCACTGTTGCTGAAATTTAAGTTCTCAGGCAGCTGCCATTGCAGACAAAGCCAGGAGCAAGCACAGTGTGTGCAGCAAAGAGTAGATGCAATGGCGAAGATACAGCTTGGTTAGGGCTTCTTTAAGCTTTTCTTTTCCACACTTGAGCTTCTACAAGGTGACAGAGCCAAAGGTGATGTCCACTGGGGGCAGCCTCAACACCTGATAGTTAATTAGCTACCCACCATGCACTGGAGAAAGACCACCACACTAACTAGGCATGGTTCCTGAAAAGTAATTGAATGGGAATGGCTTTCTGTCACTGTTAATAGAGCCCTAGGAAAAAGTCCCATGACTCAATGTGGTACAGGGGTAAGAATACTGAACTAGGAGTCAGAAGGCCTATATTCCAGTCTCAATTCTGCTGTTAACTCAGTGTGCGGCCTTGGGGGCAAGTCCCTTCCTACCTCCAGGCCTCAGTTTTCCCATCTGTAAAATAAGGGCATTGAACTAGATTAATAGTTAAGATTCCTTCCAGCTCTAACGTTTTATGACTTTTTATGTCCATTATTAACGCCTGAGCCATGCAGTCTCAGGGAAGTTAGCTTCTAAGAGAGAACATACCTCTGTATCCTTTGCTTTGTTCATTTAGCTATAAAGCACGTCTGCCTTTGGCACTTGGGTCAGACATACAAAGTTATGAGCATCCTGATTTACTATCCTACTCAGCATGCTAGTGGAATCTGTCAGCACTATAAGTTGATTATTGAGAAAGGGAGAAAAACTCCAACTAGTTAAACCTGGAAATATAAGATAACTTCGCCTCATGCGCTCACGAACAGGTGAGAGTGGTTGTGAGCACACACACACATCGGGATACACACTATTGCTAGTGATCAGTTCATTACAGTAATCCATTTCCCTTAATAAAAATTAGTAAATAGTATAGCATAGCAAAGTTTGGCATCTAAGGAAACATCTATGGAAAAACAGCACTTTTGGACATGTTAGAGAAAAAGGGACAGGTAGAGAGAGACAAATATAGATCAAATGAGATAGAAATACAGGCAGAGAAAGGATCAGTCTGAAAAAGAAGGAGGGGAGAAGGAGAAAGGGAGGAAGAAAGAGAAAAAGTAAAAGCAGACAGGGTGAGAATGAAGGGGAAAGGAATACAGAACAGAATAATGAAAGAGGAGAGAGGAATAAAGAAGAGAAGGGCAGTAACAGGGAGAAGGGGTCGTATTCCCTGGAAGGTTGAACGCTGTTCCACATGTACCTGTGAAAACCATCTTAGAAGAAAGCTTCCAAAGGCACAGCAGAAAACAGAGTGACGATCAGAGCCTGCATCGAGAGGTATTACATTGGGGAGCCCCTAAACCTCCACGTTGCTGGCCCTGTCAGTCCTCAGTGTTCAAACCTCATACCCATATATCACCTGAATTTGCCATGACAACCATAAAGGCTGAGCTGGCAGGGTGTAAAGACTGAAGAGGAGTGGGATAGATACTGTGAGAAAGAACAAGGCATCCTGCACCAGGATGTACTTGGTCATTCCCCTGACACTGCAGGAACAAAAGAGAGGCCCTAACTTTGGCTAGTTTATCACTCCTCCCCCTCTCCAAAGATGAGGCCTATGCTTTGCTGTTGGGGACTCGAAGGAGAAAAGCTCTGGATCCACCTTGTTGGAAGGTCATACAGACTTTTCCTGGGCCTTGGGGAAGGGTGCACTACCAGAAGAGATCTTTCTGCACACAGTGTTGGTGTGCCTCTTGCAGCGGCAGCCTGGTCGCCGGAGGCTATCATAGCCCTGTTGGCACAGATGGAGGCATCCACGGGTAGGCAGGTAGCAGCACAGGCAGGGTAGGAAGAGGGAGATGAGGCTCATGGCTGCCCAGCGGACAAAGCAAGAACTAGGCCCACAAGAGCAGGGCTCATCAGCACAGTTGTCTTCATCATCAGTGGAGCAGTGGTAGAAGAGGCCCTTGACACAGCAGAGACAAGTGCCATAATCGAGGAGGCTCTCAGCAGAGCAAAGGCAGCGCTGGTTGCACAGCCAGCAGGAGGGGAGAGGGCGAGCTGCTGTGCAGGGGACGCACTTGCAGCGCCCACATTCCTCACAGATGAAGAGGTGCTCACTAGGGTGCCCTGCAGATTGCTCAGCTTCTCCCTTCAGAGCACCATCAGCCTTTGGGTGGACCCCTGCTCCAGGTTGGGTTCGGATGATGGATTGGCCTGAAGGTGAGGGTGTAATGCTGGCCAAGAGCCTTTGATCAGAGGCAGTGGTGCTATGGGACATTGAGCTGGCAATGCTAGATTGGCTCAGATGCTGAGGCAAGGGCTGCAGTTGATGGCACTGGCTGAGACTGCGGGGGAGAGAAGTAGGCATGGTAGCCAGAGACCAATCAGACTTGTGGGTTTGCACAATAAGGGAAGGGCTGGAGAGGGCCTGTTTACAGGGGGCTGGAGGCCGTTCCACGTAGTCATTGCTAGCATGAGTAGAGCGCAGCTGTTCAATAGGCAGAATTTGTTGAAAATCATCTGTCACCGCAGCATCCATTTTGCCTTGATTTTTTAGCTCTGAGTGGTTTTAAGTCAGGGTGGCACTTATGGTGATAAAGAGGAGCCCTTGTAGTTACATGGATTTCAGGGCACATGAGAAAATCCTAGGAGAGAAGGCATAAAAACAGTAAATGAGAACACACAGGCATAAGTACTTTGCAAGAAACCAACAAAGCTCAGGCCCTATCACCACCACTACCTTCAATTACTTTACAGTAATCTTCATGCTACACCTTTATTCTGTAATTAACCTCACTTACTTCTTTATAGGCAAATCTCATCATCCCCTCCAGACTATAAAGAAGTTTGGGAACAAATATCAGATAGTTGATTCTTTTTGTATTCCATCAAATGCCTAGTTTCACAGGAGCAGCTAGCTCATTCAGGTATTTGCTAGCAGAGACATCCAAGCCTTGGGCATCAGAATTCTAATACAAATGGAACCTAATATTAACTGCAAAGGCTATTTTCTGAAGCAATGCTGAAGGAAAAGAGAAAGCCTCAAAAGTCTCCCATGAGAAGTTGCTCATATATATATATATATATATATATATATATATATCCAATCAAAATTATCTTTTCAGTGTGAATTTGTGATAAGCAGAAATAAACAGATAAGAAAGGACATTACTTGATTCAGTGAATACAGGCAAGCAAGGAGAATGCAATAAAGGCAGAGATACAGCAAACACACAGAAGGTAGGAATTAAGCTGTCTGCAGTGTAGTAGGAAAAAAAAAGGCTTCCCAAGAGTATAAGGAAACCAAGACTAATCATCTTGCAGTTCTCTTCACCTTACTGGCTGCTTTAACTTACTAAGGAAGTGATTCTTTTTAAATGGAATGGAGGCTCCAGAATCAAACTTTTGTACACGTGGGAGTAATACTGGGGATCAAGGAACTATAGAAGACAAGTCCTGAATTATTTCAAAAATCATCTGTAATTATACCTATTACTATCCTAAGTCACCTCCATATTGATGAGACTTACCAAGCAGAATCTGCTTGGACTTCTTTTCTCTATCACTACCTTACACAATAAACTGACTTTCTTAAAGGAAAGTGATATTCTTATACCATATTTAAGCTAAGTTGAATGTCTAGAAAGCATATGCTTGCATTTCCATTGTACTACAGTCAGGAAGAGGTGGTTGGTCATTCCCTGAAGGATTTTACCAAGCCTAGAACTGATAATGATGACCATGGGGAAAATACTGTACAAATAGCAGACTGCTGTATTGCACCACCTAGAAGACTGAAGAGTCAAAAAGGTGTACATGAAGAAACCTAAACACAAATCCAGGAAACATCCTGGAGGCATTAGGACGTAGCAAAACACTAGCATGAATAAAGTATATATTTGAGATCCATCAGATTTCAGGCCTTCTCAAAATAGATCAATTACTCACACTACTGTATGTGATGGATAGCTTGAATGAGTAATAGAAATGAACAAGTGAGAGAGGATGGTGCTTGATTACGTTTCCATAAGCAAGCAAACATGACACTGAAATGGGCCCAAAGCTCAATAACAGGAAAAACAAGGATGCAGTTCATAAAGGACTCAGTGGCTAATAATATGACCAGACTCAGTTGACTTTTGAGGCTATATCCTCATGCAAACCTGATAAGCTGAATTTACATCTGCTCATTACTTGAAAAGATTTAATTTGGTTACAAATAACCTTTTTGGCATATCACATCAAAGAACCAGTCTGACAAAAATTTCACTTTTTAACTAGTTGTTTTGGTGTTAAATAAATGCAGCATAAGAGAATGCAAATAAATATTATGGAAACTCTCAGACTCAAATATTTATGTCACTTTTGTCAAATCACTTGCTTTCTTTGGGCCTCAGTTTCACTATCTATGTGAAACTGAAGGATATGTGATGTGAACAAGGTGATCTTGAAGGACCTTGAGCCATTATGGTCTGTATTTCTTTCTATAACTACACAATTTTATAAAATATTTCTTTTCATCCGTATCTTCTACATCTTCAAGTCCTTGAGGGTAAGGTGGGCAATGTGCCCTTACTTATTGGGGCATTCAAAAGCAAAATGTATGTTTCCTTTATTTACTTGCACTCAAAGGCTCATGCAACCTGCCACCTCTACCTTTGCTGTATCTTTATAGATTCATAGTCTCAGCATTGGAAAGGAACTGGCAGCTTTCATGTAGACACCCAAATAAAAAAGGACACATTGTTCATTTGGCTTGGAGGGTATGTAGATGTAGGAACTTGGGACTGGGAGGAGTCTTTTGACAAATTTATGAGAAATAGATTTATGTCCCATTGATCGGCTAAAGAATATGTGGAGCCCTGCAAGTCCTTTGTACTGTAAGAACAATAATATACATGCTGAATGCAGTTTAGACTAATTGATTTCCCAAAGGAAACTAGATTCAAAACATATTGAAAATTCCAGGAAGCAATAATTTAAAGGAAGTTATACAAGGTCTCAAAGTTACAGGAGATAAACAGGTGAGATTCCAAAGACAGGATTCTAGGGATGTCACTAGGAACCTCAGGGACATGCCCAGAAGGTTGAAAGCTAATCTGGGAGGAATCTAGGTCATAATATAAATGACTCAGAAACAATAATGAGAATTATGTTCAAAGGGGATCCTGTCTGGGGAGCAGAAGGGTACATGGTGTTTAGGTTGAAAAGCTGTATTTCAATATTGATTCGATTTCTGCAAGACTGATAAATTGAGATGCTTGGTTGGATGATTAAAAGAAGCTGTGGGCATTATTTCAGTCTGAAATAATGATGCACTGTCTTGCCTACAAGTAAGGGAACTGACAGGATGAACTTAGAAGGTTTCTTCCTGCTCTGTAGAATCTTTTATTCAAATGGACTCTGGGATCTAATGTGGGAGACCTGCAGTAAGTGGACAGTAGGACCTGAATAAAATCAGAGTGTTGAGTAGGATTTAAGGATTGAATGACAATAAATTGTTTGCCATTCTGGACATGCTGAATCTGATCTGGCTAACAGGATGAACTGAAATAGATACTGTACAGGAAGGTAAGAGGGAAAAATATGTTGAGAAAGGAACAGGCAAGACACTGCTGTAGCACATAGGCTAGATGAAAAAGTACCACTACGTGAATGTTTATGATTCAGAAATCCACCCACTAAAGAGCCATTCATTGTGAGCAGCAACAGTTAAGAAACTGTGCAGTTGGCCAATTCCATAGTCTATCAAATGAGAGAGAGAGAGAGAGAGAGAGAGAGAATGTACACATCACATATTATTAAATAAGAGCAAAGGTGATTACAGGTCTTGGCTGCACATTGATGGGATCTAGTGATTTTTGTCACGTAGTGCCTCTGCAGTAATGAATGATGCATTGTAAACCCACTCCCATCACAGTCTCTCTGGCCAGGTGCTCATAGCTTTCTAAACAGTTTTTCTGTAGCCCTGAATTTGCCATGTTCAACCTGAAAAAAATTTCTTTTCTTATGCCAATTTAGGGACTAGAAAGCTAAGCCCATTCAAGAAATGCTAATGTTTGTTAATGAAAGAAAATGTATTTTCTCCCTGGAACCTAAAATCTGCCATGTTGAGAATAAAGTTGAAAACTTTCCTATCTAAAGCCCTTCTATGCTAACACCGCAAGACAGTTCTGATTTCTATGGTAAATCCTTTCCGATACAGTATGACTCAACGTTGATTTCAAAGAAGAGTGGAGTGAGGAAGAGGAGATCCTGGCTCTTGTTTTCTCCCAGTCTCACGGGTTCAATGCTGTTTTGTACCCTACTGTGTAACGGCTCTTAGGTGTGTTGCTTTTTTCTATGCTCTGCTGTTATATACACTCCTACTCAGAATAACTGAAAGCAAACATAGGGGGAATTTCTGCTTTGGCTTTATATGTTTTCTTAGTTCTACTGTTCCAAAGTCTGCTCTCTAAAAATCCCTCTCTGTGCAAAAAGCATTTGCATCTCTATCAAAGCACTCCCCCCTTACAAATACCAAGTTGTATATAGTTTACATTACTAACCTCTCTGCCACTGACTGGGCCTCCCTCCTACCGCATACATCTTGTTGGAGCTGCCAGGTTCTCACCACATTTAACTCTTAACTTGTCACTTTGCTACCCTAGTCCTATTCATTACTTTAATGGTTTCATTAAGACTCATAGCAGTTTATTTCAAACCAGGGAGTCTTGCAGTTTTAAGACCTTGAATGTTAAAAGATATAGGTCTTTTAGTGATGAATGATACAGGGAAAATTTGTAATACCAAATGAATTCACATCTAATCCTGAGGAAAATTGTAAGAAGAAGCTGGTTGTTCATCTAAGAAGTAGGATTTTTTTTTTAAAAACTCAAATCCTTTTATATGACACAAGAAATTTAAGGTCTAGTCCTAATGGTAGCTCTACTTTGCTGCGTGGCTGTAGGCAAATGACCTCCGTTCTGGTCCTCAGTTTCTTCATCTGCAAAATAAAAGGAGGGTTTTTAAAGGCCTTTCTTGTCCAGATGCTCTAAATTTTATGTTGGGTTTGTTGGTTGCATTTCTCTGTTTCAAAAGTCTTTAAGGAAGAATTAGTGTCCTTTCCTTTAGGTTCTTTACTTCCTCACTACTCAACTCCTCAACTCTTAATAAATATCTTCAAATCTAAGTCACTCAGATCACTATCTAGACTGTTTCACAGCTAGAGAGACCTAAAAACAGAACACAAAGAGACAAATATATAGAATGTTATAGTAATGTCTTTGTATATGTTTGTTTAGAGGCAAGGAGAGCAAGACCAATATTTCATTGTGGATAAACGGCTAGCCTGTGCCTTATTTGTATTTATGAATGCAGCCGACTTTTTGGGAACATGATTTAACACCTGGTATATCCAAATTCATGTGATAACACATCATGATACAGTGAGGTTTTAATATTACCAGAAAAGCAACAATAGTTTCCATTTCAAAATAGATTTTCTGCTTAAGAGTTCAAGGTCTGTTTTCTGTTCATCCAACTTGGTTTGCAGCATGCAGAGGTGAAGAATGATAATTATAATTAGCTTCATGGAAGTGAGTGTGCAGTAAACCATTGCCCTAGGTCTTATCAAATGCCTATTGGCTAACTAGACGTGCTCACAGGTTCTCACTTTTGACAGAATCTCCATATGCCACACAGAGACATGTGCACACGTACCCAGGCACGGATACAGAGATTTCTAAATCACTGCTCTGACTCAATGTAAGTGGGGGGTTCTGCCGTGTCAGCTTGCGCCATGTCTACCCAGGGCAAGGTGATGTGATGAAATCTGAACGATGCACAGCCCAGACTTGTGAGCCAATAGCAGAGGCTAGCCCCATGCTGACAGGATGCCCGCTGGGCAGCCAGACTGGCCTTAGCACGGGCTCTCTCTCTGTCCTCAGCTTGGGTGGTTAGGCTGCGTTTTGAGGGGTTTAGGCAAGTACCAAAATGCATTTAAAGGTTAACAGGCTAGAAATTAAATTGACATTCGCCTAGAAAAATATTATTTTGAAGTCCTATTTGGATTTACACATTTCCAATGTGGATAGTTTTCTGCGAGAGCCGATTTATTTAAATATAATTTAAAGGGTTTTCATTTTATTTTATCCATGCGCTTGCGCGCGCGCGCCCAAGCGCGCGGCACACACACGCACACAGAGACAGCACAGGATGGCTGGAATGAATGGCAATCTGTGCATTGCATAGAAAGAATTCTGGGTTTTTAAAGAGCTAATTTCTATGGCTTACCTTGAGGAAATGGTTTATCCATGCTGAGAAAAGCAGAAGAACTAATGCCCCATCTGGCTCAAAGGATCTCTTCTCCTCAGTCTTTAGGTTTCTCCACCTCTCTTCGGAAAGTCTGAATGAAAACTCCTTCACTGGCAGGCAGTGGAGCCAGAAACAGAGATAGTTCTGTCTTGTTCTTTGACACAGCAGAGAAAACACAAAACAAAACAAAACAAAACAAAACAAAACAAAAAAACGGGGGAGGGGGCGAGTCAAACCTGTAGTGGCATATACTTTGTATAGATTTTACAGGCAGATCTAAATCTTGATGGACGTATTTCCCAAAGAAAGCTCAGCAGGGTAAGTTGTTCACCTCCTCCTCTTTCTCCTCCTCCTCCTCTCTCTCCTCCTCCTCCTCTCTCTCCTCCTCCTCCTCTTTCTCCTCCTCCTCTTCTTTCTCCTCCTCCTCCGCCTCTTTCTCCTCCCCCTTCTCCTCCTCCTCCTGTTTCTCTTCCCCCTCCCCCTCCAGTATTTTCCTTCCCCTCCTCTTGCCCTCCCCTTTCCCTCCTCCCCTTCTTCCTCCTTTACCTCCTCCCCCTCCTCTTTCGCCTCCGCCTCCGCCTCCACCTTGGTCTCCCTCTCCTCCAATCTGACAGATGAACCGAAGCAGCAGAAACTGCAGTTGTAGACACAGGGTATCTCAACGGAGCAATAGATACCGCCAGTGTGTGATTATTTATATGGCTCAGGGTGTGTTGGTATATAATCTGCAGTGGGGGCAGGGAGTGAGTTGGCAGTGTGTTCAGCTTAGCTAGCTGGCCGTTTTGTGAATGTAGATGATTTCTGGAGGTCTTGTGAATGGGTTATAGGGGAGGATGGGAAAGAAGGGATTTATTGCTCCTCGTTATAATTTCTTTCTCTCCCCCCTCCCCCCGCGTGTCGTTGGCTTTCCCGGAGCTGTAGCTCTTAATGCTTGGCGAAGTGGCGTCATCCAGATGAAATTGAATCGACCCATTAAAACTCCCCATAGGAATCTCTGTATCCGGTCCCTGGGTAATGACTGAAACAAAATTTAAAGGAACGTGGGGGTGGGGTGGAGAGTAACAATTTTAAGGAGGTCTCATTTAAATATCTTTGCCAATCACATTTCTACCAATCTACTCAGCCTGTGCCGAGTGATTGCAGCTTCAATAAGATGAAGAGAAAGAGCTTCTCCTTTGTTTAAGGGTTCCTCCCACCTCTTCCTCATGTGTTCCCACTTTTTCAGCCCATCCATTGCCACTGGGAAACCATTACCCAACCTACTTTCCCTTTAGCATGGCATGCATTCAACAACAAATATTTATTGAGTACCTTCCTTTGTGCTAGGTGTTGTGGATTCCTGCCTTCATGCAGCCTCCCTGGGACTGAAAATAAAGCAGCCTTGGACATTTTCTCTTAAAGCCAAGGACAAAGCTTTCTGTAAATTACCCTCAGTCCACTATTTAATTCAATAGGAAAGGATCTTTCTTCTGGGCATCCAGACAGAAGAACTTGGATGACAGCAGCTTTATATTTAAAATAAAGGAGATCTGATTTCAAGTCCTATTTCAATGGACAAGTGGCAGGAGCTTGGCCATCAGCATTCTTAGGATGCTTTGGTTACCTCATCTATAAAATTGAGATGGTAAATGGTGACAGTTCAGAGTAAAACAAACTGTGTGAGTCAGGAAACTGAGACTCTTAATCTTATTCTGACTCCTTGTGTGACCTTAGCAATTTTCTTCCCCTCTAGAGTGTCAATTTTTACATTAACATGAGGGGATCTGATTAGGTAATTGCTAACGTCCTTTCTACCTCTGACACTCTGTCATTTACCCTCTCTCAGATGTGTTAAGAAGACAAAAGAAATAATGAGATTTAAAAAAGTACGGCTGTGTGGGTCTGCATGCTCCTGTGTGTATGTATGTGTTTAAGGTGCTCCAAACAGTTGTGATGACATGTATGTAGGTATATGTGTGTGTGCATGCGTGCATGCCTGTGTATGTGCGTGTGTGTAATTTCTAAACAAATCCAGCTCTCTTTTCCCATTTGGAATTTCTAGTCAGGAAATCTCCTGTAAATTCTCTTTTGTGATTCACTGTAGGTTCATCTACACTTATTCAACAAATATTTATTGCACATTAACTATGTGTCAAGCACTGTACTAACTAGATTCAGGTCAAATAGATCAGGGTTCAAATTTTTGCTCCTCAACCTGGGAGCTACCTCCCTTGAGGCAATTCAATTAACCTCTCTGGCATATAGCAAGCACCCCATGAATAGTAGCTATGAATGTTAAGAAATTGTTCTTGCTCTAATGTAACCCATAGGAGAGGCAAGAGATGATTTCAATTTGAAGCCCTTTTATGTTTTAAAGTCTAGCTTTAAAGTTGAATAGCTGGGTTGCCTAATTCCTTTCCCTCCTTTACTCTGTGGGCCTATATTAAGGCAACAATGAAAACAATTGGGATTATTCAGCCTTCTTACCTCTTAGGATGATACCCATGACAAAAAAAGTTAAATTGATGATCATTCATTCATTCAACCATGCCTGCTATGGGCCACTCACTAAAGGCTAGTAATTCAACAGCTAGATTTCCTGCGCTCCTGGAATTGACATTCAAGTGGGCAGGGTGACATGTTTACTCTTTGCCAGGTGCTGTTCTATGAATTTTACATGTTTTAACCTATTTAATTCTCACAACAAACCTATGAGGCATATTAATGAATTATACTGATTTTTAAAATGAGAAACCAAGGTCCAAAGACCTTAAGTAACTTGTCCAAGGTTACACAGTTGGCAGTTTGCAGATCTAGGATTTTAACTCAGGCTGACTCAGGCTGTCTCACTCCAGAGCTTGTACTTTTAACCACTATACCACAGTATCCAACCATCTGCAAATCCCTTCAGGGATTTTTGTTCTAACTTTTAAAAATTATTTGGTAAATGCTATGGTCTGAATATTTGTGTCTCTCCAAAATTCCTGTGTTGAAACCTATCTACCAATATGATAATATTAGGAGGTGGGGCCTTTGGGAGGTGACTAAATAATGTATGTGGAGCCCTCATGAATGGGATTAGTTCTCTTATAAAAGAGGCCCCGAAGACCTGCCTTGGCACTTCCATCATGTGAGGACACAGTGAGAAGGTGCTGTCTATGAGGAAGTCGGACTCCCCCAGACACTGGTAACACCTTAATCTTGGACTTCCCAGCCTTTACAACTGTAAGAAATACATTTCTGTTGTTTATAAGTTATCTAGTCAAAGGTATTTTGTTACAGTAGCCCAATAAGACTAAGATAATATTCCTGAATATCCTATAGGCCTAGCAGTCACTTATTGCAGGAAAAGCCTTGCCTAATCACCTCTCTCTTCAAAAGACCAGTTTAGAACAGATTTGTCCTCTTCTTTGTGCTCCAGAGGCCCCCTTTGTGCTTACCATCATTGCAGAACTTATCACACTTTATTATAATTGTCTGTCTCCCAATTTAGACAGTGATCTCTTTGAGGGCAGATATAATATTTATTATATTTGTCTTCACTGCCACATCCCCAAGGCCTAGCATACTGATCACTAAATTAATACTTATTGAATGAATGGATAACCAATTTTTGGAAATCTACATGAATATCTTTATTTGTTCTTTAAGCTGTTTTGTTTCTAAAAGACAACTCGAAGTTCCGTGATTTTTGATAGGCTATCACTATAGTACAATTATATACAGAAATTTGATGTTGAGACATTACAAAACTCACTATGTATTGCCAGACAACTTCTTTTACAAACTTGTTAGATTGTTGTAGCAGTGCACTTCAGAAAATTTGTTTTCTTAGCTCCTTAGTTAATGGTGTACTCTTCAGAAAACATATTTTGACAGATTCATTGAGTTGTCCAAGATCATACAGCTAGTAAGTGGCAGCATTGGGCCTAGTAGTGAACACAGGTCTCCTGTTTCCCAATCCAATGCCTTCTTTCTCTTTTTAAGGCACCTTGCTGACATTAATTCAATTCCAGTTGAATTTGGATATATTGTCTCAGCACAGATCAACACATCTATTTCTGAAAGCCATTGATTTTCAATAAATAAATAAGTAACCTTGAAGGACACCAGAAAAGTCACCCTGCCTTGGAAATATCTTCTTTACTAAGTCTGTTTTAGAAACCTCTGAGTTATGATTTTGTAATGAATAAAATACACCTTTCCATGCTTTGTAGTAACCGGTTGTTCAGATCATTTCTGATATGACAGTTAACTCAAAAACATATTGAAAGAAGGGAGAGTATATCTAACAGAGCATACTGAAAAAGAGACTAGGGCATGGGTGAAAGTGATGAAGGAGTTACAAATGTTGAAATAAATTAGATAGGTAAGGATTCAAAGAGGAATTGAGATCTGGGCAGAAAATGAATAACCATATATAATTCACATGAAGGAATTCACATGGAAATCTGGATTGGTAGCAATGTGCATGGAGTCTGCAAAGAGTGAAACATTCAAACTGTCTTATGTAAGAGGTATATTGAAGAGAGGATTGGAATATATAGTGCTGGAGAATAACTCGAATGACAGGCAATTTAGACTTAATGCTCTGGGAATTAGAAATAAATTTTAGAACAAAGGAATAAAATATGAAAATAAGCCACATTTAAGAAAGATACACTGGGCATGATATATAGGAGTGGGGAGATACTAGAGTCAGGTCAGCCAAATTGGGGTATTTTGGAGTAATCTAAACAGAAGATGATAAGGGCCTGGTTAGGGAATTGACAGTGAGAATGGGAAGTAAGGATGAGATGTTTTCAGTTGAATATGATACCATTGCATACTGAGAAGTTGGAAGGGGGAGGTCAGTTTAAAGGAATAAATATATGATATTAGAGTTGTAAAGAACTTTGGCTGGGGTATGATTAATCCTGTCACCCAGGTAGTAAGCAG
Organism: Homo sapiens; assembly: GCF_000001405.40. NCBI lineage: Eukaryota > Metazoa > Chordata > Mammalia > Primates > Hominidae > Homo > Homo sapiens. Next base: position 56,949,718 of record NC_000024.10, on the reverse strand, counting down.
GCTACCCAATTGCCATCTTTATGTCCCTGAGTACCCAATGTTAAGCTCCCACTTATAAGTGAGAACATGAGGGGTTTTTTTTTGTTGTTCCTGTATTATTTCACTTAGGAAAATGGCCTCCAGCTGCATCCATGTTGCAGCGAAGAACATGATTTTGTTCTTTTTTGTGGCTGCATAGTATTCCATGGTGTACCATATTTTCTTTATCCAATCCACTGCTGATGGGCACCCAGGTTGATTGATTCCATGTCTTTGCCATTGTGAATAGTGCTGCAAAGAACATATGAGTGCATGTGTCTTTCTGGTAGAATGATTTATTTTCCTTTGGATATATACCCAATATTAGGATTGCTGGGTTGAATGGTGGTTCTGTTTTAAGTTTTTTTTGAGAAACCTCCAAACTGCTTTCTACAGTGGTTGAACTAATTTATATTTATATTCCCACCAACAGTGTATAAGCATACTCTTTTATCTGCAGCCTTGCCAACATCTGTTGATTTTTGACTTCTTAATAATAGCCATTCGGACTGGTGTGAGACCAACCTCAATTATAAAATTGTATTCAAAACCACAAGCTACCTGCTCATCCTGATTTCTCTTTTATTTGAGATGACATCACAAATGCTTTAGTTACACAAGTTTGAAGCTTTAGCATCTATTTAACCTTTCTCTCTGTTAGCCTCCACTCATAAATGAATCAGGTATTATTGTTTCTGCCTCCAAATAGTCCAAAGACTACATCAAATATTATTTTCTCTACAATATAATTCATTGTCTCATCATCCAGAAATACCTCTGAACTCTCATGACAATGTAGTTATACTTCTCTTACGGTATTTATCACTTTTTAATTTGTACTGTAGTAACTTATGTATATGTCTTATCTTTCCAACTAGAATTAGCTCCTTGAAGATTCATATATGACCCCTTCAAAGTACTGTTTACTGTGATTTTCATAAGATAAACTCTTGTTGAGAAAAACCAGGAAATACCAAGTTAGTGGCAGAGCCAGGAGTAGAATCCAAGTCTCCTGACACTTGGTCTAGTATTCCTTTCACTATACCATAAATAGGGAAGATAATGAGATCTTTGAGTTATTCTTTAGAAGTGTTGAATTTGAGGTAAAGATGAGACATTTTCAAGTAGGAATATTTGGTACAAAGTTAGAGATATGGTACTAGAATTTAAGTGACAAGACAGGAGAGGAACTTGAGGAATTTTAAGGCTTGTTAACACGAAAGAGATCATTGGAGTTTTGAAAATGGATGAAATTGCTGAGGTAGAGGAAAGGGAGAGTGAAAAGGACTGTGTTACCATGTGGAACAGTTAGAGAGCAAAAGGATAAAGAAGAATCATATAGCCAACAAACATATGAAAAAATGCTCCATATCACTAATCAGAAAAATGCAAATCAAAACCACAATGAGATACCATCTCACACCAGTCAGAATGGCTACTATTAAAAAGTAAAAAAAAAAAAAAAATAGGTGCTGGCAAGGCTGCAGAGAAAAGGGAACACTTATGCACTGTTGTTGAGAATGTAAATTAGTTCAACTACTTTGGAAAGCAGTTTGGAGATTTCTCAAAAAGCTTAAAATAGAACTACCATTCGACCCAGCAATCCCACTATTGGGTATATAACCAAAGGAAAATAAATAGTTCTACCAAAAAGACACATGCATGTGCCTGTTCATCACAGTACTATTCACAATAGCAAAGACATGGAATCAACCTAGGTGCCCATCAGTGGTAGACTGGATAAAGAAAATAAGGCACATATACACCATGGAATACTATGCAGCCATGAAAAAGAACAAATTCTGTTTTTTTTGAATCTAAAATGAAATTGAAATTAAAATAAGAAGAATCAGTGAAGAAACAAGAGAAGGAGTAAGCAGATGTTAGAAAGGAATCAGGATACACATTGTCACAGAAGAGCAGAGAGAGTTTCAATAAAGATGGGGTAGTCAAAATGGGCTAATAGTGAAGAGAAATTAGGATAGGTAATTTAAAGTATTCAATGAATTTAGCCCCATAGGGTATTGGTGACTTATTGAAAATGGTTTTGGTGGTGGGGTAAAATGTCAAATCTCAGTATGTTGAGAGGAAACTAAAAAATCATGGCAGAGTTATAAGATTTCAACACAGGATAACCCAGTGGATTTTCAAGTGAAAGGAAGGAGTCAATGGGAAAAAATAAATGAAGAAGGAAGTTTAAAAGCATTCAATATTAGAGACAAATTCCAGGAAAATGTATAAGGATTGACATTTTGGACCAAATCATGGCATGTACTTTAAAGCATGGGTCCCCAGCCCGCAGACCATGGACCGGTAGGGGTCGGCGGCCTGTTAGGAACCAGGCCACACAGCAAGAGGTGAGTGGCCCCTGAGGGAGCATGACTACCTGAGCTCCACCTCCTGTCAAATCAGCAGTGGCATTAGATTTTCATAGGAGCGTGAACCCTATTGTGAGCTGCACAGGAGAGGGGTCTAAGCTGCATGCTCCTTATGAGAATCTAACTAATGCCTGACAATCTGAGGCGGAAAAGTTTCATCTCCAAACCATCCCCTCCTACCACCACCGTGGTGGAAAAATTGTCTTCCACAAAACCGGTCCCTGGTGCCAAAAAGTTTAGGGATCTCTGCTTTAGAGTCAAAGAAAGACACAAACTTTGTCGCTGTTACAGTTTTACCTGGAATTATCTCTGCTGAAAAAGGATCTAAGCACCTGAAACCTGGTTAAGAATCTGCCAACTGAGTCCCCCTAAGTTTAATGTACTTCAAGGTTCAAATAAATAGTAACTATAGAAAACAATTCCAAAGCTAAGCCAATCCTTATGCTAAGGCCTTGGAAGTCAGACCTGGGCTTACAACCAGTTCCATAAATTAGTTTTGTGATACTTGGTTAACTTACTTAAGCCTCTGAGCCTCAGTTTCTTCATTTGTAAAATAGGGACAATAAAGTCTTTGTTGAAAACAGAATGACTTGAGATAATGTAAGTAATAAGTAATATAGGCACTCAACAAATGGTAGGCATTACTATTATTTTCTGAGAGATTACTACTCTATTCCAGTGTGCATCAAAATGGCTCTGCCCTCAAGGGGCTCATTGGCTTGTGGAAAAGTCAAACACATTAAAACCAGTGATTACAATAGATGTAGAACATAATATTCATTATATTTGAAGAAAGCACATAAAGTTTAGGGATACAGATGAGAGATAAAGACAAGAGAAATCAAACTCTATCTGAAGAAGTCAAGGAAGGCTTCCTGGAGGAAGTATTTTTTTCAATTGAGTCATAGAGGATGTACTTAACTGTTGTCAGAGCATGTACTGCACTATATTTAAATGGCTTACTTACTTCTCTGTGTTTCCCAATAGACTTGGGACAGAAGTCCTCTGTGTGTGTTGAATGGAGGAATAAAGGAATTAGTAAATAAATTCACCTGGTAAACATACTTCTATTTTTGCCGTCATCATATGGTAATATAATTTACATGATTCCATGCCTATTTCCTTTACTAAATTAGGAGCTCCTTGATTCATTCAACAATCAGCAAACATATATTGAGGGACAGCTTTGTACCAGGCTCTGGTGATACAGTAATAAATTAAGATACAATAATAAATGAATTTGTTACATGTTATTAATATAGATATATATATAGCGATATGTTATTAGTTAATATATAATTAATAAATGAATCCCTGTTTTCAAGGGGCTCATAATTTAGTAGGAAAGCTAGCCAATAGACAAATGTAACAAAGGGTGACATGTGTTTTGGAAAGGAGCAGAGAGGAAATATACCTAATGCAGTAATTGAGGAGATTATAAAATGCTTACAAGAAAAAGTGATATTTAAATATAAATTTGGCCAGGTGTGATGGTTTATGCCTGTAATCCCAGCATTTTGGGAGGTCGAGGTGGGTGGATCACTTGAGGTCAGGAGTTTGAGACCAGCCTGGCCAACATGGCAAAACCCAGTCTCTACTAAAAATACAAAAATTAGCCGGGCGTGATGGTGGGCGCTTGTAATCCCAGCTACTCGGGAGGCAGAGGTTGCAGTGAGATTGTGCCACTGCACTCCAGCCTGGGCAACAGTGTAAGAGTCAAAAAAAAAAAAAAGAATTAATAAGATCCATTGAGAGCAGAGAAACGGCATGCACAAAGATATAAAGATGTCAAAACAACATGTTTCTAAACCATTCTAAGAGGGTCCCTTACACTCAGCTTGAGCAAATTAGAAGCAGAAATTTTCTCTAGAAGGCTACACATTGCATGACTTATTTATATTCCTAGAATGTACTAAACTTATTTAGGTTTTTACTAAATTGTAGCAAGTGGAAATAGATTAGACATAAAGAACCAACTTTATGTGATAGTCCAATATAGTGTCAAAAGTAATCATTATCAGGAACTTCATCCATAAACCCAATCAATTCTCTCTTATAACTCATTTTGTCATGTTTTGTTTTTATAAAACACATGCTTCCACACAAATTCTGAAAGTCTTTCCTCATTCTCTTTCTCCCAGGACACATCCCAAATCCATTTGAGAGCCTGAAAGTTCCTATAGGAGGCCAGCTCTATCCATATTCTATTGAAGTCAGCAGGAGCTCTTTAGAAGTGCCAGATAAAAAGCTGATCTGTGGACATCCTGATTCAGCAGTGGTGACACCAGCATTGTAAGCAATGCCAAGGGAACATAGATTCTTAACTGAAAAGCCTATGGGGATGGAGATAATTATTTCTTTGCCACAGAAGCTGACAAATAGTTTAGGAGCAATGTTACCAATAATGGAAGTGTGTGAGGGAGGGACAAAGTGGTTCTATGTAGAGAAAACTGGACTTACCTGCTGTGTGGCTTTAGCAAGTCATTCTTCATCTCTAGGCCCTATTTTCCTTATCTGTGACACAGTAAGTTTGAATATAAAACAAACATATATGGAGTACATACTTAAGGTAAGGCAATATACTTGATATGTGAGATACGGAAATGAATGTGACATGGTATGCCATGTAGTAGGTTATCAATACATATTGGTTGAACGAATAAATGAATCGTTTCATCCTCTCATTACTCACAGTCTGCTAAAACAAATGGATAGAAGAACAGAGGGGTTAAATAATGATGGGCTAGCCAAAATGGCCTAATACTGAAGAGAAATACAGTTATATAAACACATAAACTGCAATAGAATCTGTCAATAAGTCAAGTCAGAGATGACTGTGGCCTGAATCATTGTAGGGACTGTGTGGATGAAGAAAAGTTGTTCCATTTACTGAGATGTGGAGGAAATATATACTTGTTTATCCAATCCACTGCTGATGGGCACCCATCTCATGTGACCACTCTGTTGGAATTACTAGTAAATTTGGTGGAGGTGCGTGTTTCTTTTTAGAGTGTGATTCTCAGGCAGGGCTGCACATCAGAATTATATATGGAACTTTATCAAGCTACATACTCCTAAACCTTGCCTCCAGAGATTTTTTGTTCAGAGATCTTGAGTGAGACCCAGAGAAGCTGCATTTTCAAAAAGTCCCAAATGATCCTTGGATGTATCATGCAGAAAGCATGATACATCCATCACCTCCAGACCATTACAAGCATTATTCTCCTTGCCTGGGGTGATGGAAAATACCAAATCTACATCTCTGGCTCAGACCTCTAGCTGAACTCTAGACCCACATATCCAACTACCTATCAGACAGCTGTACTCGTTATCTTCCTTTCTCCATCAAACATGACAAAGGGTGAGGAGAATTGCTATTTTATATATGATGGTTATGGAAAGTCTCCCTCACTAAGTGACATTTGAGGTGAGTCTCAAAGTGAGGGAGCAAGCCATCCAGCTATATGGGGAAGGCTTCTCCCACAGAGAGGAAACAGTAAATGCAAATCCCTGAGGCCAGAATGTACTTGATGTGTTCTAGGAGGAGCAAAGAGATCAGCACGCCTATGCCTAGAGTGGGAAGGGTGAGGGAAGATTAGTAGTAAATGAAACCAGAGAGGTATCAGAGGGTTACATCACGTGGAGTCTTGCAGACCATGTTAAATATTTTGCATTTTACTCAGGGTGAGCTGAGAAGATATTGTAGGGTTTTGTGCAGAGGAATGACAGAATATGACTTGTGATTTTAAAAAGATCTCTCTGGCTGCCCTGTAGAGTATATATTCAGAAGAGGGGTTTATGTTGGAAGCAGGAAAACAATTAGGGAGCTATCGCAACTGTCTAGATGAGAGAGTGGTAATAGTGGAAGTGATGAATTAAAGTTAGAAGTTAGAATTCTAGTTATATTTTGTTCCATCAAAATACCCATTTTCTAGTTTTTTTTTCTCATTCAGTGAAAGGCATCACCTATATTTTCCCAACACAACATATGTTGTTTGTATTTGTGTGTGTATGTATCTAAATGTACCTGTAAGTCTCTGTGTCTTGTAAAGGAGCAGTAGATGGCATTGTACCTATGAACACAATTATATTTATTCCTGTTGGAAAAGGAAAACTTTCTCCTCATTTCCATCCTCCTCCACATGCATTCTGTTTTTGATGGCTCAAATCATGAATTCTCTGTCTTTTCCTAATGTATCCTAACCTGAGCCTATCTGCATGCCCTATGTGAGTTCCCTAAGTCACACAAGCATGACATCTGCATAGAGAACTTACCTCTATGACACCTATCGGATGCTTCAAATATATCTTTATATATGGCCTGTCATACTTCTGACTAGGTCCCTGTGTCTACAGTGGTATGCCAGATGTGTACCATGGATGTGGTGAATATTGCATTAAGCACCTGGCCACATGGTGTTTAGATTCCTGTATTAACTTAGCAGGATACTTCCCTGCTCCACATACACACCAACATATACTTCACTTTTCTCAGCTGTATAAATTATTTTCTCATTAATCAGAAGTTTTAAAACTTAGGAATGGGACAAGGAGACAAAGTGGGGCAAGTCCTTGTGAATGTCAGAAACTCTGAGGTAGCTGATATGACCATTTTCCACTCTCCTCTATAAGGGAGGCCAGCATGCTGCAGGTGACAACAGTGCAGAGGATTGCTTTCAGTTCTGGGAGCAGTTTATTTTCAGAACTGACATCCTACCCAGTACTAAATATAGCCAATCTCTTCCTTTCAAACAAGGGTTTCTTTTCTGTTAAACTTCAATAAAGTTCTTAGCTCTGTATTACAAGGTCTCCCCCAACCATCCTACCTTCATGAACTTTATTCTTGTTATACTTTCTCTCCCCAGCCACCTACTTTCCTCTCCCTGGCCTCTTTGGTTTCTCCTCCTTCTAACTTTCTTCTCCTTTCTATTTGTCTTCTCTGCTTTCTTGGAGTCTTTCACTGTCTCCCTCTGGCACTTTCTTCTTCATGCCCCCAACTTTTAAAAAGGGAATCCCTTAGGAACACTCTCTCCAACAAGCCAAGGAAAAGCAGATGCCCAAAGGCTAAAAATAAGATGCTTTGTTTGCTTATTTTAAAATCTTCCCAGGCTGGAGACAGATCTCCTTATATGCCAACTGGTTGACATGTAATATTAATGACATCCTTGCATTTATTGAGCATTTACAGTGTATTGTTTCAGGTATTTTATATACATAATCTCACAAAAATCCTCTAAGGAAGGTGCCAAAATAACCCACATTTTAGAATAGGGCAACTGAGGCCAAGAGAGGTAAAGGTATGTTTTAGGCAAAACAGCAAATATATAGCATAAATGAGATTTGAACCCAAGCAGTTTAACTCCAGAGCCCATACCCTCAACTCCCATGCCACACTACTTCTCTACATTAGGGTTAATGTCTATTGTATGCCTTCTAAATAAAGAGGGAGTAGTTACAGGGGAAGGAAGACTGAAGATTGGGAAGCATCTAAAATAGCTCTGAGCTGATAAAGAAGATTAACTTTTGCTTTTAATAAAGTAAAATGCGAAGCAATTTAAAGACATTGGGGTAAAAGATTAAACTGGGATGTGTTCACTTTCACTTTTTACTGCAAGTTTTGACTAAGAATTCTGAGATTTAGGCACTAGTAATCTCATTACTCTCCAGTTAGACTTTTTACTTATTTTTTCCACTGCTGTTACCCAACAGCCTACAGGGTGTGTGTGTGTGTGTGCACGCACGTGTGAGTATGCACACAAAATTATTTTTGCAATTATATATATCTATTTGTAACAAACTTCCATAGCAAATTCCCTATTTAAAATACACACACACACACACAAGTTCAGCTACATGGCAATATACAAGATTAATCAATATACAAAAGTAAGTTGTATATCTATACACTAGCAATGAACAACCTGAAAATGCAATTAAGAAAACAACTCCATTTACAATAGCATCTAAAAGAATAAAATAAGAATACATTTAACAAAAAAATACAAGACATACACTGAAAACCACAGAACATTGTTGAAAGAAGTTAAAGCAGACCTATATAAATGGAAAGACACTCCATATTCGTAGATTGAAAGATTTAATATTGTTAAGATAGAAATACTCTCCAAAGTGATCTACAGAAAACATAATCCCTATCAAAGTCCCAGCCAGATTTTTTTGCAAAAATTCATGAATGAACCCTAAAATTCATATGGAAATGCAAGGGGTACAGAATAGTCAAAACAATCTTGAAAAGGAAGAACAAAATAAAAGTATTAAATCTTTCTGACTTCAAAGCTTACTACAATACTACAGTAATCAAGATGGTATAGTACTGGAATAAGGATATACATATAGTCAAATGTAATATAATTGAGAGTCCAGAAATAAAACCTTACGTTTATGATCCATTGATTTTCTACAAGGGAGTCAGCACAATTTAATGGAGAAAGAATAATCTCTTCAACAAATGGTGCTGCAACAACTGAATAGCCACATGCAAAAGAATGAAGTTGGACTCCTACTTCAAATCATATGCTGTACAAAAAATTAACTCAAAATCATAGACATAAATGTATGAGCCAAAACTACAAAACTCTTAGAATAAAACATAGGAGTAAATATTTGTGACCTTGGATTAGGCATAGTATTCCTAGACGCAACAAGAAAAGCACAAGTGACAAAAGAAGAAATAGATAAATTACGTTTCTTCAAAATCAAAACCTTTTTTTCCTGCCAAAAATATAATCAATAATGTGAAAATGCAACCCACAGAATAGGAGAAAATGTTTACCAGTCATATATCTGATAAGGAACTTGTATCCACAATAGATAAAGATCTTCAACTCAACAACTAAAACAAAGAAACAAATGGAAAAATGCGCAAAGGATTTGAATAGACATCTCTTCAAAGACACACAAATGGCCAATATGTGCATGAAAACATGCTCAATAACATCAGTCATTAGGGGAATGCAAAGCAGAAACAAAATTAGATACAACTTAATACCCACTAGAATGGCCAAAATCAAAACAACAGACAATCACACGTGGTAGTGAGGATGTGAAGAAATTGGAAGCCTCATACACTGCTGGTGAGATTGTAAATCTCACAGCACTTTGTGAGTGGTGCAGCCACTTTGGAAGACAGTTTGGAATTTTCTTGAAATGTTAAACATGAAGTTATCATATGATCTAGTAATTCCATTCCTAGATATATAACCAAAAAAGTTGAAAACATGTGTCTATACAAAAACATGTACATGAATGTTCAATAGGATTATTCAGAATAATTGTTGAAAGATTGTTCAGTAGGACAGGCTAAACAAAACGTGACCTATCCATACAATGGAATATTTTCTAGACACAAAAGGACGAAGCACTGATACATCCTACAATATGAATGAACCTTGAAAACATCACAATAAATGAAAGAAGCCAGACACAAAAGGTCATATATTATAATATTCATTTATGTGAATGTCCAGAAAATGCAAATCCACAAAGAAAAGTCAATTTGTGGTTTCAGGGACTGAGGGAAAGGAGAAATTGTGAGTGACTTCTAATGGGTACAGGGTTTCTTTTTGGGTTGATGAAAACATTATGGTATAAGATAGTGGTGATAGTTGTACAACGTTGAGAATATACTAAAAACTATTAAATTGTGCACATTACATGGGTGACTTATTGCATGTGAATTATGTTTCAATAAAGCTGTTTTTTAAAGAATACATTTGGGAGACTGTTTAGTCCTCATGCAAACAGACTCCTGTTATATTTGACTCTTCTCTTTGCCAGAAGTACCTGTCTCTAACTAATAAATATTTAGATTGTTTTCAGACTTTTGGTATTACAAAAATGCTGCAATAAATATCTTTTACATGTATTTTGGATATTTGTGCTAATATATCTATAGCACAAATTTCTAAAGAGAAAATGCTGGGACAAATACATGTTTTGAAATGTTGATTAATATTGCCAAATTGCTCTCCAAAAAGCTTACTGGTAAGGAGTTTAGGAGAATGCTCATTTTCTCACACTCTTGCCAACCAAGTATATTATCAAATTTCTCAACCTTTTTCTATCTGAGAAGTAAAAAATGATATCTTGAGTTTTAAAAAATTTGAGTGAGATTCAATACTTTTAAATATAAATATTGGCTATTTATATGTCTCATTTTGAGAACTGTATTTTCTTGTTCTTTGTCCATTTTTTCTATTTTTTCTTATTATGGATCTGTAAGAACTTAATAGATACATTTAAATATCAATAGTTATATATATATATATCAAGACATTAAACCTATAGCATAAACATTACTTTTTTATCACTTTGCCATTGGTCTTTTTAATTAACTTATAATACTCCATGCTTTGCAAATGTTTTAAATTGTTATGCAGTCAAACTCATCGATCATGTTTTCCATTATGGAATTATAGCATCTAGGTTTTGTGCCTTATCTCCTTGTGCTTTTTTTTTTAGTATTTCTTATCTTTTGATGATTTCATATTTTTTGATAGCTCTTTGATCCATTTGAGTTAATTTTGGTGAAGGGGTGAGTTAGCGATCCAATAGAGCTACCCCATAGGGATATGTAGCTTATGTGCTACACCAAGGTGCCTGGAAGAGGATATTCACTTTGACTTTATAGTTTAAAATTTTTACCAGAATCTGTCTAGACATGTGTCATTCTTCCCATTGTTGCTACTTGAGACTTGGTGGGCTCTTTCAATCTGAACACTTAAGTCCTTTTTCAATTTAAGGAAATTTTAGTCCATTATTTGATTTCTTCATCCCCTCCTTTCCTTTTCCTTTCCTTTATTTTATTTTATTTTATTTTATTTTATTTTATTTTATTTTATTTTATTTTATTTTATTTCCCTTCCCTTGCTTTCCTTTTCTTTCCAACTCTCATTAAACAGATATTGGGATTCTCATAAATATCTATATGTCTCTTACTTTTTTCATACAATTTCCTTTTTTTATATTGCATCCTGGCAGAATCACTATGTCCAATCTTCAACAAAGTAATTCTGTTTTCAGTTGTGTACATACCACTAGTCACCCCTTTAGTAAGGGGAAATATTTTGGCAATTGTATTTTTAATTTTAAAAATCTATATAGTAAACATTTGTCATATTTGTGTCTGACCAACATATCATGTATAGCCTTTCTATATTTGGAAAAAATTCTTACATTATAATATTTACCTCTTAAATGTAGAAGTCACAACTCAAACGTCTGTGTTGAAACTACAATGTAGGAATATGACTTATGTTCTACCAGTAAGATGCCCTGACATGAGACTGATTCAGAATTGAAGCCATGCAGAAGGTAGAACTGTATGGTTTCCATTGTTGGAATAGGTAGTAGCAAAGGGACTTGACTTTGGGGGATGGCAGAGATTGCAGGGTCAAGTTCTTAATAAAGTAGTGGCATCAGTGCTGGCAGCAGTAGCTGCTGCAGTAAAGCCAATTTCTTGGCATCTAATTGTAGGAGCAACAGTTTTTCTTATCAGGGCAGTGCTGTGGCAATGGTCCTGGACATTATTTCTGGAAGCTGAACCTCAAGCTTGGTTTTCCAGCCTTCTTTTAATAAATAGCTATACTACTTACACAATCTCAATTTCAGCATCCCCTTTTCAAGCCATCTTTTCCTGTCTTTTCTGCTCACTCCTTCTAATGCCCCAATTCCAACATTTTCTTGAACCTACTGGGACCTCAAATTCATTGACCCCTATTACTTTTTACTGCCATTCACTCTACACATGTTCTCACTTCTCTTCTTACCTGACTTTAGATTTCATGGTTCATCATTACAATTACACTTCCAAGCATATACCATTAACTTCTTTTCCCTTCTTTCAATTCATCATAGTCACCTCTGAAAAAATCCAAACATGCCTAAATCCAACTTTCCACCTTTTCTGTTTCCATGTTAACTGGTTTGGTATTCATTTAATGTTAGGCTCTTTAAATTCATGACCATTAACCTCAAGTGGACTTTTCGAGCTGCTTGGCAATGCTGTGACATTTTTATAACCCACCAGCCGTCTATTTTATACCATCTGCTCTCTCCTTAAACCTCCAAAATCTAGTACTCCATTCTCACTCTTAACTGATGACATTGTTTTACAAGCTACCCTTGCTGACATTACCAATGATCTCCATATTGCTAAATTCAAAGGTTAATTATCAGTGTTCATCTTACTTAACCTGTTGGTATCATTTACATGGTTGATTATTCTCTCCTTCTTGAAACACTTTCTTTACTTGGCTTTCAGGTAGCCTCTTTATACTTTTCCTATCTCACTATTTATTTCATCTCAATGTCCTCTGGTGATATTTTTAAATTCATTTTTTTAAATGATTTCAACTTTTAGGTTCAGAGGGTATATGTGCAGGTTTGTTACATGAGTATATTGCGTGATGCTGAGGTTTGGGGTACAACTGATCCCGTCACCCAGGTAGTGAGCATAGTACCCAACAGTTAGTTTTTCAACCCTTACACTCTTCCCTTCCCCCCGCACTAGTCTCCAGTGCCTATTGTTGCCATCTTTATGTTCATGTGTACCCAATGTTTAGCTCCCACTTGTAAGTGAGAACATGTGGTATTTGGTTTTCTGTTCCTGCATTAGTTTGCTTGGGATAATGGCTTCTAGCTGCATCCATGTTGCTGCAAAGGACATGATTTCACTCTTTTTTATGACTGTGTAGTATTCTATGGTGTATATGTATTCTGGTGATATTTTAATTCCCAACTGCAAAATACTGAAGTAATGTAAGACTCAATCCTTGGTCCTCTTCTATTGTTTATCTACATTCATTCCTTAGCTGATCTCATGCAGTCTCATGACTTTAAATAACTCTCAAATTAATATCTATAGACTCGATCCCTCCTCTGAACTCCAGAATAATGTATCCCACTGGGTATTCAAAATCTCCAATTGAATATTTAAAACACATCTCCTAGTTAACATGTCCAAAACTTCAGCTCTTCATTCTCCAACAAAAATTAACTGATTCTCCTATAATTTTCTCCATTATAATAAACAGTACCTTAGTTATTCTAGTTCCCCAGGCAAAAATCATAGTGAAAGCCAAAATACAATAGTCTACAAGGTCCTATATAATTTGGCCTATTCTTATTGCCCTCACCTCAATTTCTATCACTCTTTCTCACACAGCCCACTGAAGCCAAACTGGTGTCCTTGCTATTAGTCAAAACCCCCAGATACTTCCACCTCAAATTTTTTTTATTTTGTGTTCCTTTTGCTCAGAATATTTTTCTCTTGCTCTTGATTCACCTCATCACTTCCTTTGATTCCTAGCTCAAATGTTACTTTATCAGAGAGGCCTTCTCTTCCCACTCTATCTATATAATACGTACATGCATACACAGACACACTTACACACACCCCTGTCACTTGCTGTCTCCCTTACTCTGCCATCACTACCTCAATCATATGTTTATTTCCTTATAATCTCTAGCCTCTGACTGGAATATAAGCTCTTTAAGGACAGGGAATGTCTATTTTACTCACTGCTGTATCCCCAGTGCCTAAAAGAATAACCAACACATAGTTACCACTCATTAGGTATTTGTTTACTTTTAGAAAAGCCCAAGTGGATTATATTGCTTATAGCTAAGAACTCTGATTACTTCCTTTTTTGTAAAAGCTTATTTTTATTTTATGGATCCAAGGTATTTAATTATGTATTGGGCATTGTGTGATTGAGTGTGAAAAATCTTTCTCTAAATCCTATTTATCCATATAGTTCACTTCTGTTTTCTCCACATACTATTTCTTTAACCATTAGTTATTGTGTTGGTTGAGTCTGGTGGATCTAATGTTTTTGGTTTTCACTCAATTTGATGATTCTCGGTTGCCTGTTTACATTTACATATGAAGACCTAGATTAGAAAATGTTTTTAGCTGGAATTCATATTTTCTGTACATGTGAAAAATCCTTGTTCCCTTGGCAATTAATGCAGAATCTGATTGCCCTATCTCTTGTTTATTGTACGTGGAAAGAGAGAAAAGCCAGTATTTCCCCTTCATGGTGGATGGTTAGCTTGTCTTCTGATTCCATGTAGCAGTCAGACATTCCATGAGGTATTGCCCTGTTCTTTGGCCCTGATTCCCAATATGATAGCCTTCAGTGTCAGAATTCTTCCTTTAGAAGTCTTCGTCTTGGAGCAAACATCATTTATAGAGGAAGAATTCATGTAACTATTCCTCATTCCTTTAATGAAATATACTATCTATCATCCTATTGTCAAGTCCCTTTCCCTCCTTACTACCTCTGACCTTGGGGTTATTCCAGGTTTCTGCTGACAAAATTACTCTCTTGGAAGTCCTCTCTTTTGCCTGCTTGGTAGAGTCACTCCCTAAACTCTATTCTTGGTAATTACATAACTGTGAGAAAATGCTTTTTGATACCACCTACTTCTGGGCAAACATACTTTTCCCCATATTCATATGATTAGCCAAGATTTCATCATTAAACTACTTTAAACATGGTTTATAAATGGCAATTGTTTTCATCGATACTATCTTTATAGCCAAGTGTTTACTATCTTGTTAAGCAGGGCCACCAATCTTATGTTTAACATACACACATCTCTGGTACTTACCAGCAGCAGGAATAGTTCCTTTCTAGCATGTCACTTGAACCATACTAAAAGAATAGGATGGCAAATGTAATTCTCATCCTTTCTCCCTCTCTGGAACAGTGCTATTCAGCATGTGTTCCACACACCAGTTCCAAAACTGTTTGTTACCAGTCCCTTATGAGATAAGTATAATAAGTATATAAATCGTATAAGTATATAATTATACTGATCAAGTATACAAATGGTAAGTATTTAGACATTTTTAGAGCATTTCACATTGCTGCTTTATCCAAGTGCATCATTTCGTATTTTACAAAAGTCCATGGCCGATTGGAAATTAAAAAAAAAAAGTTCCTTCACCACAAAGAGTTGAGAAGCACTGCTCTAGAGTGTCTCAATAACGTTTTTGGTCAGGTGGCATAGTTTCCCTTCTTGTATTACCTTTGTCTTCCTCAGAGTTGGCCTTTAAGCCAAGGACCTGGCTGCCTTCCAGGCAGTCATTTCCTCATAGTTTAATAGCTATAGCCAGTGAACTGAAAGTGCATTTCCTGCCACCATACTGTAAAATTATTATTAATGTAATAGGAGAATGCACTTCTGGTTTTGGCACTGATATTTGGGATACTGCATAGGGCTGGTAGCTTAAAAGAGTGGGCAATATTTTGGAGTATGGATTAATGGAGATAGAACCACTAGGAATACTTCCTGTTAAAATATGCTATATTTGCCATTTAGAGATAATTTAATAATATGATATTTTAAATGAAAATAGGAAAATCTTTTCTTTTGTGGGGCCATGAAGCTTTGCTCAAAGGAAGTTTTAAGGAGGTGGGTCTTAGCTCATTTTAAGAGCTAAGTACTAATGGAATAGTTTCTAACTACTGATGGAATAGTTTTATCAGGTAAATGCTCAAAGACTGATTTACAAACTATCATTGGTTCTCTAATAATGAATCCTGCAATTAGTTGAAAATTAGATTAAGCTCTAGGGCCCCTTCCAAAGCAGAATTCTATAATTATGTGCTGAAGTAGATTTAGGCATCAAAGGAAGGAAAATTAATTTTGAATCAGCAGTCATTAAGTGTGACGTCCTGTGATTCTCCTTTAATTTAGAGAAAAATTCTGCGATACTTCAGGAAGGATGTAATACTGAGGTCATTTGAGGGCTGAAAGTTTACTTGGAGTCGCATGTGGTCCCAGATCCACAGTTTGGAGCCAAGAGGAGACAATAAAAGATTTAAAGAAAGAGTAAATGGAAATACAGACAGAAATAGAAACATATAGTACCTGGAAACCTTATGTGTGGAGTGAACACTCTCAGTAGCCTTCTTACATAGAAAAGTCCTGACCATTCCATCATTCATCCTTCAACAACTATTTACTGCTTGTAGTCTAGACTAGTTGCAGATTATGCAGGAGTTCATTTATTGGGGTCATGCACAGCTGTCCATTATAGATCAGCCAGGTTAGTCCTTCCAGAATTTGAGTACCCAATGTGCAGTTATTAATGTCCGAGAACTTAAGACTCAAACACAACCAAGGTAAAGGAAAGACTGAAAAGGAACTGGTCACTATTGAAACAATCTTAAGACTTGACATATACATAAACAAAAATGTTTTCTCCCCTTTACACTCATGAATAGAGGGTTAACAGCTATTTAGGTTACTGTTGAAAATTTAAATCTTGGAGAATAGAAAATTTAATTGAGGGCAAGATGATTTTCTAATTGTTTACAAGGTCTTTGTATTGCCTTTTGTTCATTAAAATGAAAAAATTGTATTAACAATATCAGAAAGTTAATATGTTGCTGATGAGGTTCTCCTCTACTGGAATAATTTCTAAAAATCAAAGAAATAGGAAAAAATTAATGTTAAATTAGCTACAGTGTCTGAATCAATTTATTTCTGCAAATTATTTCTGACCAAATGTCTCAGAAACAAATCAATGTAAAAGATTATTAATATTTACTTGCTTACAGGTATAAAAGAAAGTAACATGAAACTTTTTTGAAGAAAAGAGAAGAATTTTCTTATGAGCCAATTCACACTGCTACAAATATTTTGGATCCAAGACCAAAAGCTAGAAATGTAAATAATGATAGCACTGCTGCTGCTGCCCTAGATTGAATTACAAAACAAGCAGCACATTTAGAAATTTATGCTGGAAAAATCCTTTCAAATGTGTCTGAATACAGAGCAGTTACAGTGTTTGTGCAGTCATGCAGTTTGGACTTGAGCCAAGTGTAACGCTCGCTCTTATTCCTGGTCCCACCCTTCTGATGAGGAATCTGAAGGCCAGGTTACAATTCAAGTTCTCTGTAGCTAGCTCAAGCTCCTACCCAGTGTTTCTGAGCTTTTATCACTACTAGGTTTGCTCATGAAAATAACAATATTAATAACTAATGTATATTCGGTGCTTACTATATGCCAAGCATTATGCAAGGTAAATTACATATTTTATCTTAAGCTTCACAATAAACCTATGAGGTAAATACTTTTATGTGCAGATGGGGAATTTGATTCTGTATGAGGTTAAAGAAATTGCTCCAGGTCACATCATTATATCTGTTCCATTATAAATCTATTGAGAAATCAGTAGTCTTTCTGCATGTCAAGGATGATTTTTTGTTTGGAAGACAAGGCCAGGTATCTTAGAACAATAAGGTCTCCCAAGCCTCAACATCTACCTGCTGCTCTCACAGGTGACTTCCCTCAACACAAGATTTTGTCTCTTATATTCTTGCTAGCTGCTTTCAGCCACACCTCTAAGAAGTTGTCAGTAGCTCTCAATAGCTGCACTTCATGATGATCCTTGTACCGGCCCCAGCCTTATGGGCTCCTCAATAGTGATATAATTTAATATTACAACAGGGTCTCTGATGCACCCTTAAATGACAGAAACAATTAAGAATAAATCAAAGCTCTTTACCCTGCTTCAAGGAAAGCATCTATGGAACACCAACTAGCTGACCCCCTCTAGTTGCCTATTTTTAATTTAAACAAAATTTGGGGAAAGAAAGTTGGTCTGGGATAAGTTTCTCAAGCTTGGGGAAAGATAGTTTTCTCTAGAGCAATTCCTGAGACTTGCATAGGATCTCTATTCTCCCTAAGGAACATTTGAATGGTGAGAAAATGAGACTAGGAATTGAAAGATGCTTCTATGTTCCTTAGACATGAGTTCAGATATTATTGGAAGTTAGTAAAGAGGCTTTGCACTCAGTAGCTTAGCATCCTATTCTTCCTCAATTCTAAGTATTCCTAAAATACAATCTGAATCAGACACACACCAGAAAGAACCCCTGAAGCCCAATCCAATGAACTGGGGGAGCATGAAAAATCTAAGCATTACCTGGAAAATCTGCTACAAAACAATCCACAGGTAAAGTGGCCCCAGGTCAAACAAAAGGAGTTTGCTAAGAGTGGTGCAGCAGGTTTCTATTGAAGACTTTGTTTCCTTCCAGTAATGCTTTACACAATGTGAGCAATGGTTGTGCGAGGCTGTGGTTCTGTCTCTCTGACTTTAGTGTCCTGGGTCTGCACTCATGTTGTATTTTTTTCCTTCTGTTTTTGTGACTAATTTTCTCTGTGGGATTAGTATTTTTCTGTACAGCATGACACTGAAAGAAACACTTTAAACTGCGTTTGCCAGGAAAAGTCCCTTCCCGTTTGGAATCCGAAGTGAAACCGACACCACACTTTAAGATTCTAGGATTGTTGCAGGGAAATGTCACCCAACAGCTCCAGGAAGCAGGAGCCCTACTGTTGCTGTTTAACCACTTCTTTCCCACTTTGGTGGCAAGTTGCCTCCTTTTACACAAACTGCCTCAGGAGATCCTAAGGATATCATGGTGTCTGTCTGTCCTTGCAAGAGCATGCATTATGGTAGGACATTGCCTTCATTCTGTTCATTTTTCTCCAAGACTCTTGCTTATTCTCACCATTTGGCTGGACTTTCTACTGTAGGATTACCTCGGAATCCACACAAAACCCACAGAGTTTCAGAACTGCCTTGAATTACATGTTTTCCCAAACATCCACCCAGTTCATAGGTGGCCTCACCTCTGAAGTCTCAGAGTCGCAAGATGCCTTGAGTCTTAGACTGTCTTCCATCTTCTTTCTCCCTTCTGTACCCCCTCCAGCCAAAGTTGCCCAGCCACACTAAATTGCATTCCTTGCAGTGTTGCATGCTTCCTTTGGGCAGCTTGCCTTTTATGAATAGATGAGGAGAAAATTGGGATATGAAAACACATTTATCTCTTAATATAAATATATAAATGGAATTATTTAAAATTGTCCTTTTATGTCTAGCTTCTTAGCATAATGTTTTCAAGGTTCATTCATGTTGATGTATCATGATTTTATTCCTTTTTTGTTTTTCAAGTTATCAACACTTATTTACATATTTGATAAATTTGTTGGAAATTTGAATTGTTTTATGTTCCAGGAGGAGTATATTTGCCTCATTTCAGGAACTATTTGTACATTTGTTTGTTGAGGATTATTTGGTGTTTAAAATTTACCCCCCAAAATATACTGAATTGCACAAAAGGAAAGGTTCTCGATAACTTTCTGGTTTGCTCAAAAACTCTCAGGTCTTTACATTTCTAAGGCATTTTTATATGTATATTTTACCCTCACAGTGTTACTAAGAAAGCAGGTGCTGCCATCCCCATTTCAAACATAAAGAAACTGTGGCCCAGGAAGAACAAGTAACATGCCCAGGTTGTCCACGTATCTCCATGCCTTATCTGGTATTAAGTCCAGGGGCCCTTATTCAGCATCATTTATACCTCTAGTCTAACAGAAGCTCTTGGAGGAGAGACACTTGGCATGACCATGTGCACATCCCCAGAACTAATTCAGAGTACTGCCATGGGGAGCCAATTCCCCTAGATCTCTGACACACTGGTTAGGCTTCTTCCTGGTTCAGTCTTGGGAGGGTGTATGTGTCCAGGGATTTATCCATTTCTTCTAGATTTTCTAGTTTATTTGCACAGAGGTGTTTATAGCATTTTCCGATGGTTGTTTGTATTTCTATGGGGTCAGTGGTGATATCCCCCTTACCATTTCTGATTGTGTCTATTTGATTCTTCTCTCTTTTCTTCTTTATTGGTCTAGCTAGCAGTCTATTTTATTAATTTTTTCAAAAAACCAGCTCCTGGTTTTGTTGATTTTTGAAGGGTTTTTTGTTTCTCTGTCTCCTTCAATTCTACTCTGATGCTGGTTATTTCTTGTCTTCTGCTAGCTTTGGGGTTCTTTTAGTTCTTTTAGTTGTGATGTTAGGTTGTTGATTTGAGATCTTTCTAGCTTTTTGATGTGGGCATTTAATGCTGTGAATATCCCTCTTAACACTGCTTTAGCTGTGTCCCAGGGATTCTGGCACATTGCCTCTTTGTTCTCATTAGTTTCAAAGAACATCTTGATTTCCACCTTAATTTCATTATTCACTCAGAAGTCATTCAGGAGCAGGTTGTTCAATTTCCTTGTGGTTGTGTGATTTTGAGTGAGTTTCTTAATCTTGAGGTCCAATTTGTGCTGTGGTCTGAGAGACTGTTACGATTTCAGCTCTTGTGCATTTGCTGAGGAGTGTTTTACTTACAATTATGTGATCAATTTTAGAGTAAGTGCCATGTGGCATTGAAAGGGATGCACATTCTATTGTTTTTGGGTGAAGAGTTCAGTAGATATCTGTCAGGTCTGCTTGATCCAGAGCAGGGTTCAGGTCCTGTATATCTTTCTTAATTTTCCATCTTAATGATCTGTCTAATATTGACAGTGGAGTGATAAAGTCTCCTAGTATTATTGTGTGGGAGTCTAAGTCTCTTCATAGGTCTCTAAGAACTTGCTTTATGAATCTGGGTGCTTCTGTATTGGGTGCATATATATTTAGAATAGTTAGCTCTTCTTGATGAATTGAACTCTTTACCATTATGTAATGCCCTTTGTCTTTTTTGATCTTTGTTGGTCTAAAATCTATTTTGTCAGACTCTATAATTGTGACCCCTGCTTTTTTCTGCTTTCCATTTGCTTGGTAAATTTTCCTCCATCCCTTTATTTCGTGCCTACATGTGTCTTTGTACATGAGATGGGTCTCTTGAAGATAGCATACTGATGGGTCTTCACTCTTTATCCAGCTTGCCATTCTGTGTCTTTTAATTGGGGCATTTAGCTAATTTACATTTAAGGTTAATATTGTTATGCGTGAATTTGATCCTGTCATCATGATGCTAGCTGGTTATTTTGCAGACTTATTGATATAGTTGCTTCATAGTGTCACTGGTCTCTGTATTTCAGTGTGTTTTAGTAGTGGCTGGCAAAGATTTTTCCTTTCCATATTTAGTGCTTCCTTCAGGAGCTCTTGCAAGGGAGGCCTGGTGGTGATAAATTCCCTCAGCATTTGTTTTTCTGAAAAGGATCTTATTTCTCTTTTGCTTATGAAGCTCAGTTTGGCCAGATGTTCTGGGTTGGAAATTCTTTTTTTAAGAACGTTGAATACTGGCTCCCAATCTCTGGCTTGTAGGGTTTCTGCTGAGAGGCCTGCTGTTAGTCTGATGAGCTTCCCTTTGTAGGTGACCTGGCCTTTCTCTCTGGCTGTCCTTTACATTTTTTCTCTCATTTTGACCTTGGAGAATCTGATGATTATGTGTCTTGGGGTTTGATCTTCTCATGGAGCATCTTACTGGGGTTCTCTGGATTTCCTGAATTTGAATGTTGGCCTGTCTTGCTAGGTTGGGGAATTTCTTCTGGATGATATTGTGAAGTATGTTTTCCAACTTGTTTCTGTTCTCCGCATCTCTTTCAGGTACCCCAATCAGTCATAGGTTCAGTCTTTTTACATAATCCCATAGTTCTTGGAGGTTTTGTTTGTTCCCTTTCATTCTTTTTTCTCTTTTCTTGTCCACCTGTCTTATTTCAGAAAGATAGCCTTCAAGCTCTGAGAGTCTTTCCTTCACTTAGTGTATTCTGCCATTGATACTTGTGATTGCTTTGTGAAGTTCTCCTGTTGTGTTTTTCAGCTCCATCACGTCATTTATGCTCCTCTCTTAACTGGCTATCCTGGTTATCAGCTCCTGTATCATTGTTTTCATGATTCTTAGCTTTTTTGCATTGGGTTAAAACATGCTCCTTTAGCTTAGTGAAGTTCATTATTATCGGGGAAACCCACCCCCAATATTTCAACATAGGTTCTTTCTATTTTCCATAAGTGTCGGCCGGCTGAGAAATAAAGAGAAAGAGTACAAACAGAGGAATTTTACAGCTGGGCCTCCGGGGTGACATCACATATCGGTAGGACCGTGATGCCCACCTGAGCCACAAAACCAGCAGGTTTTTATTAAGGGTTTCAAAAGGGGAGGGGGTGTATGAACAGGGAGTAGGTCACAAAGATCACATGATTCAAGGGGCAAAAAGGAGAACAAAGATCACATGTTTCTGAGGAAACAGGACAAAAGGCAAAACATAACTACTGATAAGGGTCTATGTTCAGCTGTGCACGTATTATTGTCTTGATAAACATCTTAAACAACAGAAAACAGGGTTCGAGAGCAGAGAACCGGTCTGACCTTGAATTCACCAGGGTGGGGTTTTTCCCCACCGTAGTAAGCCTGAGGGTACTGCAGGAGACCAGGGCGTATTTCAGTCCTTATCTCAACCACATAAGACAGACACTCCCAGAGCGGCTGTCTATAGACCTCCACCCAGGAATGCATTCCTTTCCCAGGGTCTTAATTATTAATATTCCTTGCTAGGAAAAGAATTTAGCAATATCTTCCCTACTTGCACGTCCGTTTATAGGCTCTCTGCAAGAAGAAAAATATGGCTCTATTCTGCCTGACCCCGCAGGCAGTCAGACCTTATGGTTGTCTTCCCTTGCTCCCTAAAATTGCTGTTATTCTGTTCTTTTTCAAGGTGCACTGATTTCATATTGTTCAAACACAAATGTTTTACAATCAATTTGTACAGTTAACACAATAGTGGTCCTGAGGTGACATACATCCTCAGCTTATGAAGATAATAGGATTAAGAGATTAAAGCAAGACAGGCGTAAGAAATTATAAAAGTATTAATTTTGGGAACTGATATATGTCCATATTAAAGTGAAATCTTCATAATTTATGTTCCTCTGCTGCAGCTCCAGCTGGTCCCTCTGTTCGGAGTCCCTGACTTCCCACAACACATTATTACTTGCCTTATGAAGCCCACTTCTGTCAATCTAGCCATCTCAGCCTCAGCCCAGTTCTGTGCCCTTGTTGGAAAGGTGGTGTAGTCACTTGGAGGAGAAGAGGCACTCTGGCATTTTGAGTTTTCAGTGTTTTTGCATTGATTCTTTCTCATCTTTGTGGGTTTATCTTCAATCTTTGAGGTTGCTGGCCTTTGAATGGGGGTTTTTGTGGGGTCTTTTTTGTTGTTGTTGCTGTTGCTTCCTGTTTGTTTGTTTCTCTTTTAACAGTCAGGCCACTCTTCCACAGGACTGCTGCAGTTTGCTGGGGGTCCACTCCAGACCCTAGTCACCTTGGTCCCTCCCTCACCTGGATGTAACACCAGTGAAGGCTGCAAAACAGCAAAGATGGCAGCCGGCTCCTTCTTCTGAAAGCTCCATCCCAGTGGTCACCGACCTGATGCTGGTCTGAACACTCCTCTAGGAGGTATCTGGAGACCCCTGTTGGGAGATCTCACCCAGTCAGGAGGAATGGGATCAGGGGCCAGCTTCAAGAAGCAGTCTGGCTGCCCTTTGGCTGAGCAGATGTGCTGCACTAGGGGGAATCCTTCCACCTCGTCCAAACCACCCAGACTCTCCAGAGCCAGCAGGTGAAAATGCTGTCAGCTGAACTGCAGAGACAGTGGTTGCCCCTCCCCCTGGGGGCTCCATCTCAGGGAGAGATCAGAGTTATGTCCATATAACCCTGGTCGGAATTGCTGAAATTCCCACAGGGAGCCCCTCCCCACACATCCCAGTGAGGAGAGATGGGTTGGGATCTCACTTAAAGAAGTAGTCTGGCCATGATCCGGCACAGCAGCAGCTGTGCTTCCTTATGGAGAACTCCTGCTGGTCTGTACCACCTGGACTCTCTGGAGCCAGCAGGCTAGAATGGCTGACTTGAACCATAGAGATGGCATCTGCCCCTCCCCCCAGGAACTCAATCCATCTCAGGCTGTCTCCAGCCTGCTGCCTCTGGCCATCTCCAGCCTGCTGCCTCTGGCCAGCTGGAATTCTAACCCAGTGGGTTGTGACTTGTGAGGTTCCATGGAAGTGGGGCCCACAGAACAATGCCAGTTGGCTCCCTTTATTCAGCCCCCTTCCTAGGGGAATGTACAAATGATATCCCACCTCAACTGGAATTTCCAGGGTGGAGTATGCAAAGCTCCTGTGTCTCTGTGTGTGCCTGATCAGCTACTTTGCTGAGACTCTATACAGCCCTGTGCTTCAGACCCAAGGCCCTGGTGGTGTGGGCTCACAAGGGGATCTCCTGATCTGCAGGTTGCAAAGATCTGTGGGAAAAGCGTGGTTTCCCAGGAAGAATTGCATGATCACTCACCAACTCCCTTGGCTGGGGGTGGGGCTGTCCTGGCTCTGTACCACTTCTGGGTGGGCCATCACCCCACCCTGCTTTCCTTGCTGTCCATGGGTCGAGCCATCTGCCTAGTCAGTCCCAATGTGAGAACCTGGATCCCTCAGTTGAAGGTGCAGAATTCACTCACCATTTTCATTCCTCTCCATGAAAGCCATGGACTGAAGCTGCTTCTAATCGACCATCTTGGCCTGTCCTATTTGTTTTCTTTAGTTCAATGTCTGTTCATGTTTTTGACCACTTTCTAATTGGATTGTTTGATTTTTTTTTTACTGTTGAGTTCCAAGCACACTTTATATATATTGTGGAAACAAATTATCTATTGCAGTTGTGACTTGCAAGCATTTTTTTTTCCCAGTCTGCACCTTGTTTTTTCATCCTCTTAACATCTTTTTCCCAGTGCATTTTTTTCATTTTGATAAAGTCTAATTTAGCAATTGTTTTCTTTTAAAGATTTGTGCTTTTGGTCTCAGGTATAAGAACTCTTTATCCACCTGTAGTTCCCCAAAATTTTATCCTATGTTTACTTCCAAAAATGTTTTACAGTTTACATTTAAATCCATGATCTATTTTGCATGGATTTTTATACAAGGTGTGAGAATTAGGTCCTAATTATTTTTTAAAGGTGAGTGCATTCAAATATACTTGGGTAACTCAAATTTAATTAAAAATAGAAATCAGAGGTGGTAATAATATAAGGTTAAATACACTCTTATATTCCCACATTCCAATTCATACCCCATTTTGAAGGTAGAGAATCTTCCTAAAGTACAATTCATATTGTATCACTCACTTGCTTAAATTCTTTCAACACCTCCTCACTTACCTCAGGATAAATTCTAAACTCCTTACTATGAGCAAAAGGCTTCACATGATTTGGGTCCTCTCCAGTCTTATTTTTGCCACCCTGTTCTCTATCCCCCAGTCACATTCACAATCCAGCCACAGTGAACTTCTTCAGTTTCCTAACTATCACATCCAGGTCTTCAAACATGTTTGGAACATTTTTTATTCATTCTTTATTTGGTTAGCTCCTATTTATCCTTTAGGTCTCACCTTGATCATAACTTCTTCCTAGAAAGCCTTCCCTAACTCCCCATCTGCGTTATATTGCCCTTTCTATGTTCTTACATAGTACTCTGTATGATCCTCATTATGGCATTTTTTACATTGTATTATAGTTGTCTGTTTACTTGTCTGCATCTTACCTCTAGATTATGAGTCTCATAATGACAAGGATTATTTCTATTGTGCTCACCATTGTTTCACAGATAACTAGCACCCTGCCTGAATCATACTGATGTTCAACAAATATTTGCTAGCAAACACATGGAATCAATCTAGATGCCCATCAATGGTGGATTGGATAACCAAAGAACAAAAAAACAACCAGTCTGAAGAGACAAGGTAAGCATCACAGCCACACTTGGATGCAGCAGAAATTTAGGAATTATAAGACCAGAAATTTAAAATAGGTATAACTAATATGTTAAGGGCTGTAATGGAAAAAGTGAACAACATTCAAAAATAGACAGATAATACAAGCAGATAGATGAAAATTCTAAGAAAGAATCAAAAGCAAATAAGCAAATGCTAGAAACAAAAAAACACTATTACATACATAATGTCTTTGATGGGCTCACCAGTAGACTAGACATGGTCCAGGAAAAGATCAGTGAAACTGAAGATATGGCAATATTAGCTTCCCAAGCTGAAAATCGAAGAGAAAAATTAGTGAAAAAATAGAATATTCAAGAACTGTGTGACAACTACAGAAGATGTGATATACATGTAATAGGAATCCCAGAAGAAGAAAGAGAGAAAGAAACAAAATAAATATTTGAAATAATAATGGCTGAGAATATTCCAAAATTATTAACAGATACCAAACCACAGATGCAAAGAAGCTCAGTGAATACCAAGCAGGAGAAATACCAAAATAAACAAACAAAAAACTACACTTAAGCATATCATATTTAAACTACAGGAAAGCAAAGATAAAGAGAAAATCTTGAAGGAAGCCAGAGGGGGAAAACATCTTATCGTTAGAAGAACAAGGGTAAGAATTTCAGAAACTTATCAGATACCATGAAAGCAAGAAGAAAGTGGAACGAAGTATTTAAAGTGTTGAAAGAAAAAAACCCACCAACCTAGAGTTCTATATCCAATTAAACTGTCCTTCAAAGTGAAGGAGAAATAAAGACTTTCTCATACAAACAAAACTTGAGGAAATGTGTCACCAGTAGGCTTGTCTTGTAAAAAAATGTTAAAAGAAGGCCTTCTCCTTCAGGGAGAAGGAAAATGATATAGGTCAGACACATGGATCTGGATTACAAAGGAAGAGTGTTCAAAAATACATAAATGAAGGTAAAATAAAATATTTTATTTTTCTTATGTTTCAGTGGCCTAACAGGTAAAAGTTTGTTCAAAATAATAAGAGCAATGATATGTTGGATATCGCTTATGAATAAGTGAAATATATGACAGAAATGTTTAAGGGATAGGAGAGAGGAACTAGGAATATTTTTTATAAGGTACCTGCACTTTCTGTGAACCAGTATGGTGTTATTTGAAAGTAGATTTAGATTAGTTGTAAATGCATATTGCAAACTCTAGGACAACCACTTAAAATTTTTCAAAGGAAACAAACAATATGCTAAGAGAAAAGAGAACATTGAATCATATAATATGTTCAACTTAAACCAGGAAAGAAAAAAAAAGAGTGGAAGATAGAAAAAGATAAAGAACCGGTGGAAAAAGAGAACAATTATAAAAAGGTACATATTAATCAAACCACATCAATAATGACTTTAAATGTGAATGGTCTAAATACACCAATTAAAACACAGATTATCACAGTGGATAAAAAACAAAGAACCAACTATATGTTGTCTACAAGAAATCCAATTTAAATATAAAGACCCAGATATATTAAAAGTAAAGGGTTAGAGAAATATATGCCATGCTGTCAGCAATCAAAAGAAAGCTTGAATAGCTGTATCAATATCGCATGAAGCAGATTTCAGAGCAAGAAAAATCTTCAGGGATAAAAATGGCCATTACATAATAAAGGGGTCAATTCTCTAAGAAGAAACAACAATCCTTCATGTATCTGTGCCTAAAAACAGCATTAAAATAGATGAGGCCAAAACTGATAGAACTGCAAGAAATAATCCACTTTTATAGTTGGAAATTTCAACATCCTTCTCTCAAAAAGCAACAGATTCAGCAGGCAGAAAATCAGGATATAATTGGACTGAAAGCACTGTTAATTAACTGGACCTGATTGACATAGAATGTCAATTCTATAAATTCTATAAATGTGGAACATTTATCAAGATAAATCACATCTTGGGCTTTAAAACACACCTTAACAAATTAAAAATAATTAAAATCATACAAAGTATTCTCTTAGACCATATTGGAATTAAACTAGTCATTAGTAACAGAAAAATAGGAAGAAAACCTCCAAAACATTTGGAGATTAAAAAACATACATATAAATAACACATTGTTCAAAAATAAAATCTCAGAAAAAGTTAAATTTTTTTTAATTAAATGAAAATAAAAGTATAATTTATCAAAATTTTCAGAATGTAGCAAAAGCAGTGCTTAGAAGGCTATTAATAGCATTTAATGGACATATTAGAAAGAAAGATATAAAATCAATAATATAAACTTTTACCTGAGGAAACTAGAAAAGAAAGGCAAGTTAAGTCCAAATTAAGTAGAAGAAATAAAATAGTAAAATTAGGGCAGCAATCAAAGAAATTGAAAACAAGAAATTAAGAGAGAAAATCAATGAAACCCAAATCTAGTTCTTTGAAAAGATCAATAAAATTAGTAAACCTCTAGCCAGGCTAACCAAGAAAAAAAGAAGATAGAAATTATTAATACAGGCATACCTCATTTTATTGTGCCTTGGATTAATGTGCTTTGCAGAGATTTTGTTTGTTTGTTTGTGTGTGTGTGTTTTTTTTTCAAATTGAAGATTTGTGGACACTCTATACCGTTTTTCTAACAGCATGTACTCACTTCATGTCTCAGTGTCACATTTGGGTAATTCTTACAGTATTTCAAACTTTTTCATTACTATTATATTTGTTATGGTGATCTATAATCAGTTATCTTTGATGTTACTATTACAGATCTATATTCAATTATCTTTGACGTTACCATTACAGTTCTTTCAGGGTGCCACAAACTGCACTCATATATGACAGCAAAGTTAACTGATCAATGTTGTGTGTGTTCTGACTGCTCCACTGACTGGCCATCCCTCATCTCTTTCCTTCTCCTCAGGGCTCCCTATTCCCTAAAATACAACAGTATGGAAATTAGGCCAATTAATAACCTTACAATGGCCTTTACATGTTCAAATGAAAGGAAAAGTTACATGTCTCTCCTTTAAATCAAAAGCTAGAAATGATAAAGCTTAGTAAAAAAGACATGTCGGAAGGCAGGACAGGCTGAAAGCTAGGCTTTTTGTGCCAACCGGCCAAGTTGTGAATGCAAAGAAAAAGTTCCTGAACAAGATTAAAAGTGCTACTCCAGTAAACAAATAAATGATAAGAAAGTGAAACAGCCTTATTGCTTATCCGGAGAACGTTTTCGTGGTCTAGATAGCTGAAACCAGCCACAATATTCCATTAAGCCAAATCCAGAGCAAGGCCTTTACTCTGTTCAATTCTATGAAGCAAGGAAGCTGCAGAAGAAAAGTCTGAAGCTAGCAGAGGCTGGTTCATGAGATTTAAGGAAAGAAGCCATTTCCATAACAAAAGTGCAAGGTGAAGCAGCAAGTGCTGATGGAGAAGCTGCAGAAGATCTAGCTCAGAAAACTGTTAAAGGTGGCTACACTAAGCAATAGAATTTCAATGTTGATGAAACAGTCTTCTGTTGGAAGAATATGCCATCTAGAACTTTCATAGCTAGAGAGAAGTCAATGCCTGACTTCAAAGCTTCTAAGGACAGGCTGACTCTCTTGTTAAGGGCTAATGCAGCTGGTGATATTAAGTTGAAGCCAATGGTCATTTATCATTCTGAAAGTCCTTGGGCCCTTAAAAATTATGCTACATTTACTCTGCCTATGCTCTAGAAATGGAACATCAAAGCCCAGGATGACAGCAAATCTGTTACCAGTATGTTTTTTTTAATTTTTAATTTTTGTGGGTACATAGTAGGTGGGTATGTGTATATATATATATCTTCAGCATATATATGTATATGTATATATATCAGCATGTATATATACATTATACATATATGTATATATATATCAGCATATATATGTGTATATATATACATACCCACCTACTATGTGTATATATAGTGTGTGTGTATATATATATAGGGTATATGGTATATTTTGATGATACAGGCATACAATGTGTAATAAATTACATCAGGGTAAATGAGATATCTATAATCTCAAACATTTATCCTTTGTGTTACAAACAATCCAAACATACTCTTTTAGTTATCTTAAAATGTACAACTAAATTATTATTAAATATAGTCACCCTATTGTACTATCAAATACTGGAATTTATTCATTCTTTTTACTGTTTTGTACCCATTAACCATTCCCCTTCTCTCTCCCCACTACACTTCTAGGCTCTGGTAACCATCATTCTGCTCTCTATCTCCGTTGAGCCCAGTTGTTTTAATTTTTAGCTCCCATGACTAAGTGAAAATAAAAAATGAAAGCGAAGATTGTCCTTCTGTGCCTGGCTTATTTCACTCAACACAATGACCTCCAGTGCCATCCACGTTGTTGCAAATGACAGGATCTCGTATTTTATAAGGCTGAATAGTGCTCAAGAGTGTATATGTGCCACATTTTCTTCATTCATCTGTTGATAAACATTTTGGGTTCCTTCCAAATCTTGACTATTGTGAATAGTGCTGCAATAAACATGGGAGTGTAGATATCTCTTCAATATACTGATTTCTTTTCCTTTGGGTATATACCCAACAGTGGGATTGCTGGATCATATGGTAACTATATTTTTAGTTGTTTTGAGGAACCTCAAACTGATTTCCATAGTGGTTGTATTAATTTATATTCCCACTGACAGTATGAGGTTTCCCTTTTCTCCACATACTTGGCACTATTTCTTATTGCTTGTCTTTTGGATAAAATCAATTTTAACTGGGCTGAGATATCTCATTGTAGTTTTGATTTGCATTTCTCTAATGATCACTGAGGTTAAGCACCTTTTCATATGACTGCCATTTGTATCTCTTCTTTTCAGAAACATCTGTTCAGGTCTTTTGCACATTTTTTCACCCTTTTCCTTTTTAGTAAAAGAAAAGTGCAGCTCACTACCAGCACTCATTTAATTTTACATAAACACACTCTTTGAGGCTGGAGCAAATCTGACTGATTTGCAATGTAAAAATAAAATATAAAAACTGTTTTTGGAGTTTTTTTCTAAACAGAACTAACATCAGAATCATCTGACTCATCAGAATCGTCTATTTTGGAAAACTCAGATTCTTCAAATGAATCTTCGGCCAAAAACTGTACAAGAACAATGTTAACGTGACATCTAGGAAGGCTACGTTTTCTAAGATTTGACATTTTTATCAATTGAGATTTACTATATTTTGTAAACGGAAATACCATTACTAAAAACAGAATGCTATAAATAGAATGATGTGTTTTGTTTCCAAAGTCAATGTACTGGAGCAATGCAAAAATAATACTAATCTTACTTTCACTTCCTTGGTTAATACTTGCAAGCACTGTTGGCAAGTGTTCTTAAGTCCAATGGGAAAAGGGCTAATAAGATTGTTAGATTTTTTCCTATAGAGTTGTTGGAACTCTTTATATATTCTGATTATTAATCTCTTGTCAGATGGGTAGTTTGCAAATATTTTCTCCCATTCTCTGGGTTGTCTTTTCATTTTGTTCATTGTTTCCTTTGCTGTGCAGAAGCTTGTTAACTTGATATGATCCCATTTGTCCACTTTTGCTTTGGTTTCCTGTGCTTGTGGGATATGACTTAAGAAATCTTTGCCCCGTCCAATTTGCTAGAAAGATTCCCCAGTGTTTTCTTGTAGTAGTTTCATAGTTTGAGATATTAGATTTAAGTCTTTAATCAATTTAGATTTTATTTTTGTACATGGCAAGAGATAGAGGTTTAGTTTCATTCTGCATGTAGATATCCAGTTTTCCCAGCATCATTTATTGAAGAGTTTGTCTTTTCCCTAATGTATGTTCTTGGCATCTTTGTCAAAAATGAGCTCACTGTAGATGTATGGATTTGTTTCTGACTTTTCTATTTTGTTCCTTTGGTTTACGTATCTGCTTTTATGCCAGTATCATGCTGTTTTCTTTACTATAGCTCTGTAGTATAATTTGAAATCAGGTAATGTGATCCTCCAGTTTTGTTCTTTTGGCTCAGGATAGCTTTGGCTATTCTGGGTCTTTTGTGGTTCCATATAAATTTTAGAATTGTTTTTTCTGTTTCTGTGAAGAATGTCATTGGTATTTTGATAGGGATTGCTATGAATCTGTAGATTGCTTTGGGTAGTATGGACATTTTTACAATATTGATTCTTCCAATCCATGAACATAGAATATCTTTTCTTTTTTTTGTATGTCCTCTGCAATTTCTTTCATCAATATTTTATAGTTTTCATTGCAGAGATTTTTCACTTCCTTGGCTAAATCTCACGTATTTGATTTTACTTGTAGCTATTGTAAATGGGATTACTCTCTTGATTTCTTTTTCAGATGGTTCACTGTTGGCATATAGTAATGCTACTGATTTTTGTATCTTGATTTTGTATCCTGCAATGTTACTGAATTTGTTTGATCAGTTCCAATAGGTTTCTGGTGGAGTCTTTAGGTTTTTCCAAATATAAGATCATATCATCTGCAAACAAGGATAATTTAACTTCCTCCTTTCCAATTTGGAGGCCCTTTATTTCTTTCTCTTGTCTGATTGCTCTAGCTAGGACTTCTAATGCTACGTTAGTAACAGTGGTGAAAAAAAGCATCCTTGTCATGTTCTGATCCCCATTCAGCATGATACTAGCTGTGGGTCTGTCATATATGGCTTTTATTATATTGAGGTATGTTCCATCTATATATCCAGTTTTTAAAGGGATTTTATAATGAAGCGATGTCAAATTTTATCAAATGCTTTTTCAGCATCTATTGAAATGATCACATGGTTTTTGTCCTCCATTCTGTTGATATGATGTATCATATTGCCCAATCTGCATATGTTGAACCATCATTGCATCCCTGGGATAAATCCCACTTGGTCATGATGAATGATCTTCTCAATGTGTTGTGCAACTCGGTTTGCTAGTATTTTGTTGAGGATTTTTGCATCAATGTTCATCAGGGATGTTGGCCTGTAGTTTTCTTTTCTTGATGTGTCTCTGTCTGGCTTTGGTATCAGAGCAATATGGCTCATAGAATGAGTCTGGAATTATTCCCTTCTCCTTTGTTTCTTGGAATAGT
The DNA here is from genome assembly GCF_000001405.40 of Homo sapiens. Taxonomy (NCBI): domain Eukaryota; kingdom Metazoa; phylum Chordata; class Mammalia; order Primates; family Hominidae; genus Homo; species Homo sapiens. Next base: position 56,916,659 of record NC_000024.10, on the reverse strand, counting down.
TTGAGTAGGATTGGTATTAGTTCTTTAAATGTTTTTTAGATTTCAACAGTGAAGCCATTGGGTCCCAGGCATTTCTGTGCTGGGAGACTTTGATCCTGTTACTTGCTACTGGTCTGTTCAGGTTAAGATTTCTTCATGGTTCAATCTTAGTAGGTTGTATGTGTCCAGGAATTTATCTATTTATTCTAGATTTTCCAATTTATTGGCACATAGTTGCTCATAGTAGCCACTATTAATCCTTTGAATTTTTGTGGTATTGGTTGTGATATTTCCTTTTTCATCTTATTTTACTTATTTGCATCGTCTATCTTTTTTTTCTTAGTGAGTCTGTCTAAAGTTTTGTGAATTTTGTTTATCTTTTCAAAAACCCAACTTTTTCTTTTTTTGGTATTTTCTATTATTTTCTTCATTTCAATTTCATTTATTTTTGTTCTGATCTTTATTTTCTCTACTAACTTTTGGTTTGTTTTGCTCTTGCTTTTCTAGTTCTGTAAGAGGCATCATTCAGTTATTTATTTGAAGTTTTTATTCTTTTTTAACATAGGCACTTACAGCTATAAACTTCACTCTTAGTAGTGCTTTTGCTGTATCTCATAGGTTTTCATATGTTGTGTTCCCATTATTATTTGTTTCAAGAAATTTTTAAATTTTCTTCTTAATTTCTTCATTGACCCACTGTTCATTCAGGAGCATATTGTTTAATTTCCATGTATTTCTTTAGTTTCCAGAATTCCTTTTGTTATTGATTTCTAGTTTTATTCCATTGTGGTCAGAAAAGATGCTTGATATTATTTCAATTTTTTGAATATTGTAAGCCTTTTTTTGTTACCCCAAAATATAATCTATCTTAGAGAATGATCCACGTGCTAAGGAAAAGAATGTGTATTCTGTAGCTGTTGAATCAAATGTTCTGTAAATATCTATTATATTCATTTAGTTTATAGTGCAGACTAAGTCTGAATTTCTTTGTTGATTTTTTGTTGGATATCTGTCCAATGCTAAAAGTGGGCTGTTGAAGTCTCCAGCTATTATTGTATTTGGGTCTCTCTCTTTAGCTTGAATATTTGCTTTATATGTCTGGGTTCTCCAGTTTTGACTGTGTATATATTTAAAATTGTTATATCCTCTTGCAGAATTGACCCTATTATCATTATATAGTGTCTTTCTTTGTCCCTTCTAATAGCTATTGTCTTGAAATCTAGTTTGTCTGTATATGTATAGCTACTTCTGCTAATTTTTTGGTTTCCATTGGCATGGAATATCCTTTTCCATTCCTTTATTTTTAACCTATGTGTGTGTTTGAAGGTGAAGTGTTTCAGTGGGTCCAGCCCACGGTGGGCGAGTCAAAGCAGGGCAGGGTGTCGCCTCACCTGGGAAGCACAAGGGGTCAGGGGATTTCCCTTTCATAGCCAAGGGAAGCCATGACAGACTGTACCTGGAAAAATGAAACACTCCCGCCCAAATACTGTGCTTTTCCCATGGTCTTAGCAACTGGCAGACCAGGAGATTCTCTCCCATACCTGGCTTGGCAGTTCCCATGCCCACGGAGCCTTGCTCACTGCTAGTGCAGCAGTCTGAGATCAACCTGCAAGGCTGCAGCCTGGAGGGGGAGGGGCGTCCACCATTGCTGAGGCTTGAATAGTTAAACAAAGCGACTGGGAAGTTCGAACTGGGCAGAGCCCACTGTAGCTCAGCAAGGCCTACTGCCTATATAGACTCCACCTCTGTGGGCAGGGCATAGCTGAACAAAAGGCAGCAGAAACTTGTGCAGACTTAAATGTCCCTGTCTGACAACTCTGAAGAGAGCAGTGGTTCTCACAGTATGGCGTTTGAGCTCTGAAACAGACCGCCTCCTCAAGTGGGTCCCTGACACCTGTGTAGCCTAACTAGGAGACACCTCCCAGTAGGGGCTGACAGACACTTCATACAGGCAGGTGCCCCTCTGGGACGAAGCTTCCAGAGGAAGGATCAGGTAGCAAGATCTGCTGTTCTGCAATATTTGCTGTTCTGCAGCCTCCACTGGTGATACCCAGGCAAACAGGTTCTGGAGTGGACCTCCAGCAAACTCCAACAGACCGGCAGCTGAGGGACCTGACTGTCAGAAGGAAAACTAACAAACAGAAAGAAATAACATCAGCATCAACAAAAAGGACATCCACACCAAAACCCCATCCACCAACATCAAAGACCAAAGGTAGATAAAACCACAAAGATGGGGAGAAACCAGAGCAGAAAAGCTGAAAATTCTAAAAATCAGAGTGCCTCTTCTCCTCCAAAGAATTGCAGCTCCTTGCCAGCAACAGAACAAAGCTGGACGGAAAAAGACTTTGACGAGTTGACAGAAGTAGGCTTCAGAAGGTTGGTAATAACAAACTTCTCTGAGCTAAAGAAGCACATTCTAACCCATTTCAAGGAAGCTAAAAACCTTGAAAAAAGATTAGATGAATGGCTAACTAGAATAAACAGAGTAGAGAAGACCTTACATGACCTGATGGAGCTGAAAACCATGGCACGAGAACTTCGTGAGGAATGCACAAACTTCAATAGCTGATTTGATCAAGTGGAAGAAAGGATATCAGTGATTAGAGATAAAATTAATGAAATAAAGTGAGAAGACAAGATTAGAGAAAATAAAAAGAAATGAACAAAGCCTCCAAGAAACATGGGACTATGTGAAAAGACCAAATCTACATCTGATAGGTGTACCTGAAAGTGACGGGGAGAATGGAACCAAGTTGGAAAACACTCTGCAGGATATCATCCAGGAGAACTTCCCCAACCTAGGAAGGCAGGCCAACATTCAAATTCAGGAAATACAGAGAACACCACAAAGATACTCCTCGAGAAGTGCAACCCCAAGACACATAATTGTCAGATTTACCAAGGTTGAAATGAAAGAAAAAATGTTAAGGGCAGCCAGAGAGAAAGGTTGGGTTACCCACAAAAGGAAGCCCATCAGACTAACAGCGGATCTCTTGGCAGAAACCCTACAAGCCAGAAGGGAGTAGGGGCCAGTATTCAACATTCTTAAAGAAAATAATTTTCAACCCAGAGTTTCTTATCCAGCCAAACTAAGCTTTATAAGTGAAGGAGAAATAAACTCCTTTAGAGACAAGCAAATGCCGAGAGATTTGTCACCACCAGGCCTGAAGGAAGCACTAAACATGGAAAGGAACAACCAGTACCAGCCCCTGCAAAAACATGCCAAATTGTAAAGACCATTGATGCTATGAAGAAACTGCATCAACTAATGGGCAAAATAACCAGCTAACATCATAATGACAGGATCAAATTCACACATAACAATATTAACCTTAAATGTAAATGGGCTAAATGCCCCAATTAAACAACACAGACTGGCAAATTGGATAAAGAGTCAAGACCCATCAGTGTGCTGTATTCACGAGACCCATATCATGTGCAGAGACACACATAGGCTCAAAGTAAAGGGATGGAGGAAGATCTACTAAGCAAATGGAAAGCAAAAGAAAAGCAGGAGTTGCAATCCTAGTCTCTCATAAAATTGACTTTAAACCAACACAGATCAAAAGAGAAAAAGAAGGCCATTACATAATGGTAAAGGGATAAATTCAACAAGAAGAGCTGACTATCCTAAATATATATGCACCCATTACAGGAGCACCCAGACTCATAAAGCAAGTCCTTAGAGATCTACAAAGAGACTTAGACTCCCACACAATAATAATGGGAGACTTTAACACCCCACTGTCAATATTAGACAGATAAACGAGAAAGAAGGTTAACAAGGATATCCAGGACTTGAACTCAGCTCTGCACCAAGTAGATGTAATAGACATCTACAGAACTCTGCACCCCAAATCAACAGAATATACATTCTTCTCAGCACCACATCGCAGTTATTCTAAAATTGACAACATAATCGGTAGTAAAGCACTCCTCAGCAAATGAAAAAGAACAGAAATCACAATAAACTGTTTCTCAGACCACAGTGCAATCAAATTAAAACTCAGGATTAATAAACTCACTCAAAACTGCACAACAACATGGAAACTGAACAACCAGCTCCTGAATGACTACTGTGTACATAATGAAATGAAGGGAGAAATAAAGATGTTCTTTGAAATCAATGAGATCAAAGACACAACATACCAGAATCTCTGGGACACATTTAAAGCAGTGTGTAGAGGGAAATTTATAGCACTAAATGCCCACAAAAGAAAGCAGAAAAGATCTAAAATTGACATCCTAACATCACAATTAAAAGAACTAGAGAAGCAAGAGCAAACAAATTCAAATGCTAGCAGAAGGCAAGAAATAACTAAGACCAGAGCAGAACTGAAGGAGATAGAGAAACAAAAAACCCTTCAAAAAATCAATGAATCCAGGAGCTGCTTTTTTGGAAAGATCAACAAAATCAACAGACCGCTAGCAAGACTAATAAGAAGAAAAGAGAGAAGAATCAAATAGATGCAATAAAAAATGATAAAGGGGATATCACCACCCATCCCACAGAAATACAAACTACCATCAGAGAATACTATAAACACCTCTACACAAATAATCTATTAAATCTAGAAGAAATAGATAAATTCCTTGACACATACACCCTCCCAAGACTAAATCAGGAAGAAGTTGAATCTCTGAATAGGCCAATAACAGGCTCTGAAATTGAAGCAATAATTAATAGCCCACCAACCAAAAAAACGTCCAGGACCAGACGGATTCACAGCCGAATTCTACCAGAGGTACAAAGAGGAGCTGGTACCATTCCTTCTGAAACTATTCCAATTAATAGAAAAAGAGGGAATCCTCCCTAACTTATTTTATGAGGTCAGCATCATCCTGATACCAAAGCCTGGCAGAGGCACAACAAAAAAGAGAATTTTAGACCAATATCCCTGATGAACTTCGATGCAAAAATCCTCAATAAAATACTGGCAAACTGAATCTAGCAGCACATCAAAAAGCTTATCCACCATGATCAAGTTGGCTTTATCCCTGGGATGCAAGGCTAGTTCAACATACACAAATCAATAAATGTAATCCATCACGTAAATGGAACCAATGACAAAAACTACATGATTATCTCAATAGATGCAGAAAAGTCCTTCGACAAAATTCAACAGCCCTTCATGCTAAAAACTCTCAATAAACTAGGTATTGATGGAATGTATCTCAAAATAATAAGAGCTGTTTATGACAAACCCATAGCCAATATCATACTGAATGGGCAAAAACTGGAAGCATTGCCTTTGAAAACCGGCACAAGACAAGGACGCCCTCTCTCACCACTCCTACTCAACATAGTGTTGGAAGTTCTGGCCAGGGCAATCAGGCAAGAGAAAGAAATAAATGGTATTCAATTAGAAAAAGAGGAAGTCAAATTGTCCCTGTTTGCAGATGACATGATTGCATATTTAGAAAACCCCATTGTCTCAGCCCAAAATCTCCTTAAGCTGATAAGCAACTTCGGCAAAGTCTCAGGATACAAAATCAATGTGCAAAAATCAATGTGCAAAAATCACAAGCATTCTTATACACCAATAACAGACAAACAGAGAGCCAAATCATGAGGGAACTCCCATTCACAATTGCTTCAAAGAGAATAAAATCCAACTAGGAATTTCGGAATCCTAGGAATCCAACTTACAAGGGATGTGAAGGACCTCTTCAAGGAGAACTACAAACCACTGCTCAACGAAATAAAAGAGGACACAAACAAATGGAAAAACATTCCATGCTCATGGGTAGGAAGAATGAATATCATGAAAATAGCCATACTGCCCAAGGTAATTTATAGATTCAATGCCATCCCCATCGAGCTACCAATGACTTTCTTCACAGAATTGGAAAAAAATACTTTAAAGTTCATATGGAACCAAAAAGGAGCCCGCATAGCCAAGCCAATCCTAAGCCAAAAGAACAAAGCTGGAGGCATCACGCTACCTGATTTCAAACTGTACTGCAAGACTGCAGTAACCAAAACAGCATGGTACTGGTACCAAAACAGAGGTATAGACCAATGGAACAGAACAGAGGCCTCAGAAATAAAACCACACATCTACAACCATCTGATCTTTGACAAACCTGACAAAAACAAGAAATGGGGAAAGGAATCCCTATCTAATAAATGGTGTTGGGAAAACTGGCTAGCCATATGGAGAAAGCTGAAACTGGATCCCTTCCTTACACCTTACACAAAAATTAATTCAAGATGGATTAAAGACTTAAATGTTAGACCTAAAACCATTAAAAACCCTGGAAGAAAACCTAGGCAATACCATTCAGGACATAGGCATGTGCAAGGACTTCATAACCAAAACATCAAAAGCAATGGCAACAAAAGCCAAAATAGACAAATGGGATCTAATTAAACTAAAGAGCTTCTGCACAGCAAAAGAAACTACTATTAGAGTGAACAGGCAACCTAGAGAATGGGAGAAAATTTTTACCATCTACCCATCTGACAAAGGGCTAATATCCAGAATCTACAAGGAACTTAAACAAATTTACAAGAAAAAAACAAACAACAACATCAAAAAGTGGGCAAAGGATATGAACAGATACTTCTCAAAAGAAGACATTTATGCAGCCAACAGACACATGAAAAAATGCTCATCATCACTGGTCATCAGAGAAATGCAAATCAAAACCACAATGAGATACCATCTCACGCCAGTTAGAATGGCGAACAGTAAAAAATCAGGAAACAAAAGATGCTGGAGAGGATGTGGAGAAATAGGAATGCTTTTATACTGTTGGTGGGAGTGTAAATTAGTTCAACCATTGTGGAAGACAGTGTGGCGATTCCTCAGGGATCTAGAACTAGAAATACCATTTGACCCAGCCATCCCATTACTGGGTATATACCTAAAGGATTATAAATCATACTGCTATAAAGACACATGCACATGTATGTTTATTGCGGAACTATTCACAATAGCAAAGACTTGGAACCAACCCAAATGTCCATCAATGATAGACTGGATTAAGAAAATGTGGCACATATACACCATGGAATACTATGCAGCCATAAAAAAGGATGAGTTCATGTCCTTTTCAGGGACGTGGATGAAGCTGGAAACCATCATTCTGAGCAAAGTATCACAAGGATAGAAAACCAAACACTGCATGTTCTCACTCATAGGTGGGAACTGAACAATGAGAACACTTGGACACAGGGCGGGGAGCATCACACACCGGGGCCTGTCAGGGGGTGGGGGGCTGGGGGAAGGATAGCATTAGGAGAAATACCTAATGTAAATGATGAGTTGATGGTTGCACCAAACCAACATGGCACATGTATACCTATATAACAAACCTCACGTTGTGCACATGTACCCTAGAACTTATATATATATATATGGTGAAGTGTTTCTCTTGTAGCCAATAGATCAAAGGATATTACTTTTTTTATCCATTCAGCCAGTCTATGTCTTTTGATTGGAGAGTTTAGTCCATTTATTTTCAATGTTATGTTTGATAAGTAAGGACTTACTCCTGTCATTTTGTTATTTGTTTTCTGGTTGTTTTGTGATGTTCTCATCCTTCTTTCCTTCGTGTGTTCTTTCATGTGAAGGTTAATTTTCTCGGTTAATATGATTTAATTTCTTGCTTTAATTAATTAATTTATTTTTGAGATAGAGTCTCATTCTGTCACCCAGGCTGGAGTGCAGAGGCATGATCTTGGCTCACTGCAACCTCCACCTCCTGGGTTCAAGTGATTCTCCTGCCTCAGCCTCCTGAGTAGCTGGGACCACAGGCATGTGCCACCACACCCAGTTAAGTTTTCTATTTTTAGTAGAGATGGGGTTTCACCCTGTGGCCAGGCTGGTTTCGAACCCCTGACCTCAAGTGATCCGCCGCTTCAACCTCCCAAAGTGCTGAGATTACAGGCGTGAGCCACTGTGCCTGGCCATGCTTTTATTTTTAGTGTATTTTTTTATGTCTTTTGATTTCAGGTTACCATGAGACTTGTAAATACTAGCTTATAACCCATTATTTTAAGCTGATAACAACTAAACACTATTGTATAAATGAACATACAAGCAAAGAGAAAACTAATAAAAACTCTATACCTTAACTTTGTTCCCGTGCTTTTTAATTTTTTTTGTTCCTATTTATATCTTATTGTACTGTCTATGTCTTGAAGAGTTGTTGTAGTTATTGTTTTTGATTGGTCCATCATTTATTCTTTCTACTTAGGACAAGGGTAGTTTACACACCACAGTTACAGTGTTATAATATTCTGTGTTTTTCTGTGTACCTACTACTGCTAGTGAGTTTTGTACCTTCAGGTGATTACTTATTGCTCGTTAACATCCTTCTCTTTATGATTGAATTACCCTGTTTAGCATTTCTTCTAGGACAGGTCTGGTGTTGATGAAGTTCCTCAGTTTTTGTTTGTCTTGGAAAGCCTTTATTTCTCCTTCATGTTCGAAGGATAATTTTTGCCAGATACACTATTCTAGGATAAAGTTTTTTTTTTTCCTTCAGCTCTTTAAATATATCATGCCACTCTCTCCTAACCTGTAAGCTTTCCACTGAAAAGTCTGCTGCCAGGTTATTGGAGCTCCATAGTATGTTATTCGTTTATTTTCTCTTGCTACTTTTAGGATCCTTTCTTTATCCTTGACCTTTGGGAGTTTGATTATTAAATGCATTGAGGTAGTCTTCTTTGGGTTAAATCTTCTGGGTATTTTATAACTTTCTTGTACTTGGATATTGATATCTTTCTCTAGGTTTGGGAGGTTCTCTGTTACTATCCCTTTGAATAAACTTTCTACCCTCCCCTACCCCTGTACCTCCTCTTTAAGATCAATAACTCTTAGATTTGCCTTTTTCAGGCTATTTTCTAGATCCTGTAAGTATGCTTCATTGTTTTTATTCTTTTTTTATTTTGGTTTCTCTGACTGTGCATTTTCAAATAGCCTGTCTTCAAGCTCACTACTAATTCTTTCTTCTGCCTGATCAATTCTGTTATGGAAAGACTCTGGTACATTCTTCAGTATGCCTACTGCATTTTTCAGCTCCAGAATTTCTTCTTGATTCTTTAAAATTATTTCAATATCTGTGTTAAGTTTATCTGATATAATTCTGAATTCCTTCTCTGTGTTATCTCATATTTATTTGAGAGTCCTCAAAACAGCAATTTTGAATTATCTGTCTGAAAAGTCAGATATCTCTGTTTCTCCAGGATTGGTCCCTAGTGCCTTATTTAGCTCATTTAGTGAGGCCATGTTTTCCTGGATTGTTTTGATACTTGTAGATGTTTGTCTGTGTCTGGGCATTGAAGAGTTGGGTACTTATTGTAGTCTTCACAATCTGAGCTTCTTTATACCCAACCTTTTTGGGAAGGCTTTCCAGATATTGGTAAGACTTGGGGGTTGTGATCTAAGCTGTATCCACTTTAGGGGGCAGCAGTAACACTGTGGTTCTTGCAGACTTTTAGATATACTGCCTTGATGGTCTTGGACAAGATCTGGAAGAATTCTCTAGATTACTAGGCAGAAACTCCTGTTCTCCCTTACTTTCTCAAATAGAGTCTCTCTCTCTCTGTGTTCTGAGCCACCTGAAGCTGGGGGTGGCATGACACAAGCACCCCTGTGGTCACCACCACTGTGACTGCACTGGGTCAGACCTGAAGCCAGTACAGCACGGGGTCTTGACCAAGGCCTGCTATAACTACTACCTGGCTAATGCCTATGCTTGCTCAAGACCATGGGTCTCTACAATCAGCAGGTGGCAAAACCAGACAGGCCTGTGTCCTTCCCTTCAAGGTAGGATGAGATCCCCCAGGCCCCAGGGAGGCCCAGAGATGCTGTCTGGCAGCCAGGGACTAGATTCAAAAACCTTGGAAGTCTAATGGTGTTCTATTGTACTGCGACTGAGCTGTACACAGTCAACTAGACACGGTCCTTCCCACTCTTCCCTCCCGTTTCCAAATTCAAAGGAGCCCCACCCTGTGGCCAACACGATCACAGGCCCATGAGGAGTATTGTCAGACTACTGTCAATGTTCACTTAGAGCCCAAGGGCTCTTCTGTCAGCTTGTAGTAAATGCTGCCTGGTCTGGGACTTACCCTGCAGGGCAATGGGCTCCCCTCTGACCCAGGGCAGGTCCAGAAATGCCATCAAAGAGCCAAGTCCTGGAACTGGGGACTCCAAGAGCCCATTTGGTGCTTCACCCCCTTGTGGCTGAGCTGGTACCTCCGGAGCAAGGGAAACTCCCCTTTACTTTTCCCTCTGCTCTTCTCAAGCAGAAGGAGTTGCCCCATAGCCACCACAGCCGGGAATGTCTTGAGTCTCACCTGAAGCCAAATCCTTCAGTGTAGTACCTGGGGATTACTGCTGATTATTCAGGGCTCTTTAATTAGCAGGTGATGAATGCTGCCAGGACTGGGTCCTTCCCTTGAAGGCAGTGACCTTCCTTCTGGCCCAGGGTGTGTCTAGTATTGTCGTCTGGGAGCTAGGCCCTGAAAAGGGGTCTTGTGACTCTGACCAATGCCCTATCCTGCTGTGGCTGAGCTGATATCCAAGATGCAAGACAAAGTCCTCCCCACTATTTCCTATCCTTTCCTTAGGTGGAAGGAAGGGGTCTCTTTTGGAGCTGTCAACTGTGCAGCCAGGGGTTAGGGGTTAGGGGAGGGGTGATACCAGCACTCCCTTAGCTGCCTCAGCTGGTGTCTCAGTAGGTCACACGCTCCCCAGTCCATTGTCTCTAGGCCCAGTTCAGCACTAGGACTCGCCTAGAGGTTGCTGTCCTTGTGGCCTAGACTGTCTTTCAAGTTTATTTAGAGCCCCAGAGCACTATAGCCCACTGTAGCAAGGCTTGCACAACTCATGTTTAGACCATTAGGGCTGGTGATTTCCCTCTGGCCAGGGCTGGTTTAAATGCTCCCTCCATGGGCGGGCATCAGCTGAGTTTGATTTGGTTTGTTTTCTGCTATAACAGGACAGCACGAAACTCAATGCCTCACAATTACTGGGCTCTCCCTCCCCCAGTGCACAAAAATGCTCTCTGCAGCATGCTGCAGCTATTAATAGCTGCCAGGGCACATTGTGGGGGTGGTGGCATCAGTGATTCAAGACTGTTTTTTCTACCTCTTCAGTGCCTCTTTCAGCTAAACCAGGTACTGTGAGTACTCACTTGATTTTTGGTTCTTATGAAGGTGCTTTTTCTGTGTAGATAGTTTTTAAATTGGTGTCCTTGTGGGGTGAATGATTGGTGGAGACTTTTATTTCATCATCTTGCTCCTAGAAATCCTCATTGCTTATTTTATAACTTACCTATCATGTTTCATTTTTATATCTGTCAATATTTTCCTATATGGTTTCCAGATTTTGCGTTTGGCTTCAGAAAGCCTTTCCTATCTCAATTTATTTTTTAAATGATCTTATACTTTACATTTAAATATTTAATACATCAGAGTGTGTTTGTTTCTCTTTGGTATCTTTATAAAATTTCTAAATAAATAGCCAATTGTTCAAACACTTTTATCCATTGATTTGAAATGTCATATTTATTAATATGATTATATTTGTATCTGTGGTGTGTCTTTATTTTGTATTCGAAATGCCCGGTTAATTGTTCAAACACCCTTTTGTCTCATTGATTTTATATGCCATATTTATTGCATATTAAATTCCCACAGGCATACAGGTATGTTTCTAGAAACTATTTTATTTGATTAATTTGTTTATGTCTGTGTCAGGCTCATATGTTTTCTGCTATTGTAGTTTTATAATTTTTAAAGTTTTATTTTATTTATAATTAACACAAAAATTATACATAGTTATGGGGCACAGTGCTATCTGGGAGGGTGGTATTTTTCTGAACACAATCTTTTTTTGTCAAGATTTTTCTTGGATATTCTTACACATTTATACTCCCAAATGAATTTTTATCAAATCGTATTTAAAAACTTTTTAGATCATAAGACTTTCAGTTGTGGCAGAGTGAAGCCTTCAGCAAATCCTCTCCTGACAAAACAAGTATTAACTGGACATTACAGGGCTCTGGAAATTGAAAAAAGGAAAACAAAAAATAGAGAAGCAATTATTTATGAAAATCTGCTATAAATTCCAGTAAAAACAGTGGGAGTCTGCAGCTTTCTTGCTTGAGGCCACTCCCATTCAGCTCAATCAGCATGGTAGTTTTACTATGATATTCTGGCTGGGAAAACCAAAGTTTCACTGACAGAAGATGCTGGCTTGACTTGGAGCATAGGGCAGGACCTACACTCAGCAGTTTGCCAATAAAATCATTCTACTATAAAGACACATGCACACATATGTTTATTGAAGCACTATTTACAATAGCAAAGACTTGGAACCGACCCAAATGCCCATCAATGATAGACTGGATAAAGAAAATGTGGCACTTATAACCATGGAATACCCTGCAGCCATAAAAAAGGATGAGTTCATATCCTTTCCAGGGACATGGATGAAGCTGGAAGCCGTCATTCTCAGTAAACTGACACAGGAACAGAAAACCAAACACCACATGTTCTCACTCAAAAGTGGGAGTTGAACAATGAGAACATGTGGACACAGGGAGGGGAAGATCACACACCGGGGCCTGTCAGGGGGTGGGGGGCAAGAGGAGGGAGAGCATTAGGACAAATACCTAATGCATGTGGGGCTTAAAACCTAGATGACAGGTTGATGGGTGCAGCAAACCACCATGGCATGTGTATACCTATGTAACAAACCTGCATGTTCTGCACGTGTATCCCAGAACTTAAAGTATTTTTAAAAAGGTAGTAAACAAGAGGGATGACCTACAGCTTAGCTAGCCTGATGTTGTAGTCCTTGTTGAGGTGAGTAGCAAGTAAACTAGAAATGTAATGGGAATATTCTTATAATGTGAGAGCTATAGACGGGCTACTTAAGCTCTCCATACATCCTTGGCTGATTGGGAAGATAACAAGCATAGACAGGGTAAATCTGAGAAGGCCCAGCAAAAAAATAAAAGTTGATGATATCTTTTTTTTTTTTTTGACAGTCTCACTCTGTCACCCAGGCTGGAGTGCAGTGGTGTGATCTCGGCTCACTGCAACCTCTGCTTCCCGGGTTCAAGCAATTATCCTGCCTCAGCCTCCCGAGTAGCTGGGAATACAGGCGCATGCTGCCACGCCCAGCTATATATATATATATATATATATATATATATTTTGTATTTTAGTGGAAACAGGGTTTCACCGTGTTGCCCAGGCTGGTCTTGAACTTCTGAGCTCAGGCAATCCGCCCGCCTCAGCCTCCCAAAGTGCTGGGATTATAGGTGTGAGCCACCATGCCTGGCCAATGATATCTTAAAAACGTACATTGAAAGAGAGTGGAAGACTTATGGACTACAGTTATTTGAACACATATTTTGTCGAATCATTTGCTGACCACTGAGCTGTGCAATCACAGGGGCAATTCATAGAAAACCAGGATTAAAAAAAAGTTATGATTAAAAAAATGAACAGAGACATCAGTGGGTACACAGCACGGGGAAGACAGATTCTGCAGATTAAGGCCAGGCAAATTATTAAAATACAAAAAGAAAAACAAAAAAGTAAAAAGAAAACATAACATTGAGGGAAAGAGCCAGAATTAAGTTGATGAAATATATTACCTAAAAAAGTTAGGTTTCAAGAAAAATTAAGAGATGTGTGGGAAAACAGCAAAATGAAGCCCATAATCAGGAGTTAAAGCAGAAACTGTATGTTGGATTTAGCAGACAGTGACTTCAAAGAATTGAAGGAAGCAATCTTTAAAGAACTAGATGAAACTAAATGACAATGATCCAACAGATAGAAAATATCAATAAGGAAATAAAACATAAAGAACAAAATAAAAAGTATAGGGTTGAAGAGTATGATTCCCAAAAGAAAAACTGCTGTAAATGGGTTCCACAACATCTTTGGGATGGCAAAGGAAGGAATCAGTGAACCTAAAGACAGAGTGATAGAAATTATCTAATATGAAGAATTCAGAGAAAAAGATTAAAGCAGGGGCAAGAAAGATTGTGGAATAGAAGCCTACACTGTTCATCCCCCCTGCTGGAACACCAAATTTTAACAATTATCTTCACACAGAAAAGCACCATCACAAGAACCAAAAATCAGATGAGCAATCACGGTACCTGGTTTTAACTTCTTATTATGGAAAGAGGCATTGAGGAGGGCAAGAGAGACAGTCTTGAATCATTGATGCCACCCCTCCTCCATCCCCTGGCAGTGGCCATGTGTCACAGTGAGAGAATCTTTGCACTTTGGGGAGGGCAAGCACAGCGACTGGGGGAATTTACATTAAACTCAGTGCTGCCCTGTCACAATGGAGAATAAAGACATGCTGGGCTCAGCCAGCACCTGTGCATGGAGGGAACATTTGGACCAGCCTTAGCTAGAGCAGTATCATGTATCCCAGCAATTGGAACTTGGGTTTCTTGTCAAGCCTTGCCACCACTGGCTGAAGTGCAATAGGGTCCTTGAAAGGACATGAGGACTGTAACTCCTAGGCGAGTTCTAGTGCTGAACTGGGCTCAGAGCCAGTGGACTTAGGGGGCACACAATCTAGTGAGACACCAGCTGGGGCAGCTGGGGGAGTTCTTGCACTACTTCTCATCCAATCACAGGCAGTGCAGCTCACAACTCAGAAAGAGACTCCTTCCTTCCATTTGAAGATGAGAGGGAAGAGTAAAGAGGACTTTGTCTTGCAACTTAGATACTAGCTCAGCTACATCAAGATAAGGCACCAGGCAGAGTTGTGAGGCACCCATTCCAGGCCCTACCTCCCAGACAACATTTCTAGACACACCCTGAGCCAAAAGGAAATCTGCTGTCTTGAAGGGAAGGACCCAGTCCTGGCAGGATTTATCACCTGCTGACTAAAAAGCCCTTGGGCCACGAACAACCACCAGTGATACCCAGGAAGTATGCCATGGACCTTGGGCTCTGAGATATGCTGACTTCAGGGGAGACCCAGCACATTCCCAGCTGTGGTGGCTATAGTGAAAGACTCCTTCTGTTTGAGAAAAGCAGAGGAAAAAGTAAAGGGGACTTTGTCTTGCACCCCAGGTACTAGCTCAGCCACAGTGAGGGTAGAGCAACAATCACACTGTTGGAGTCCCTAAGTACTGGCCTAGGCTCTTAGACAGCATTTCTGGACCTGCTCTGGGCCAGAGAGGAGTTCACTGCCCTGAAAGATGAGTCCCAGGAATGGCAGCATTCACCATAAGCTGATGGAAGTCCTTAGGCTTTACGCAAACATTGGTGGTGGGCTGGCAGAATCCCCCGTGGACTGGTGGTGTTGGTGGCCACAGAGAGAGGCTCCTCTGCTTGGGAAAAGTTGGGGGAAGAGCAGGAAGTACTTTGTATTGTGGTTTGAGTGCCATCTTAGCCACAGTAGAATAGAACATCAGGTAAATTGCTACATTTTTTGACTCCAATCCCTGGTTCCCAAACAGCATCTCTAGACATGCCTGGGGCCTGAAAAAACTTGCCACACTGAAGGGAAGGGCCTTGGGTAAGGCCCAGTGCTGTTCTGGCTTCAGGTCTGACCCAGCACAGTTCCTCTAGTGGTGGCCACAGGGATGCTTGCATCACCACACTCCCAGTTCCAGGTGGCTCAACACAGAGAAAAAGAGATGCCATATGTTTGGGAGAAAGTAAGGAAAAAGAATGAGTCTCTGCCTGGTAGTACAGATAATTCTTCCAGATCTTATCTAAGACCACCACGGTGGTACCTCTATGAGTCTGCAAAAGTGAAAGCATTATTGGACTTGGGGTCCAAATCCCTTTGAATACCTGGAAAGTCTTCCTAAGAAGGACAGACAGAAACAAGCCCGTATTTTGAAGACTACAATGAATGCCTAACACTTCAACACTCAGACACTGAAGAACATCTACAAGCATCAACACCATCCAGGAAAAGAAAACATAATCTCATCAAATGAAGTAAATAAGGCATCAGGGATCAATCCTGGAGAAACAGATATCTGGCCTTTCAGACAGAGAATTCAAAATAGCTGTTTTAAGGAAACTCAAAGAAATTCAAAAAAACATAAAGAAGAACTTCAGAATTCTATCAGATAAATTTAACACAAAGATTTAAAAACTTAAAAAGAATCAAGCAAAAATTCTAGAGTTAAAAATGCAACTGACATGCTGAAGAATGCATCAGAGTCTCTTCATAGCAGAATTGATGAAGCAGAAGAAAGAATTAGTGAGCTTGAAGACAGGCTATTTGAAAATACAAAGTCAGAGGAGACAAAATAAAAAAGAATAAAAAAATGAAGTATGCCTACAGATCTGGAAAATAGTCTCAAAAGGGCAAATCTAAGAGTTATTGGCCTTAAAGAGAAGGTAGGGAAAGAGCTATGAGTAGGAAGTTTTTTTCAAAGACATTATATGACAGAATGTCCCAAACCTAGAGAAAGATAACATTCAAGCACAAGAAGCTTATACAACACTAAGCAGATTTAACCCAAAGACTACCTCAAGGCATTTAACAATCAAACTCTCAAAGGTCAAGGATAAAGAAAGGAGCCTAAATGCAGCAAGAGAAAAGAAATATCATATGATAGAGCTTCAATATGTCTGGCAGCAGACTTTTCAGTGGAAACCTTACAGGCAAGGAGGGAGTGGCATGATATAAGTGTTGAAACAATAAACCTTTTACCCTAGAATAGTATATCCAGTGAAAATATCCTTAAAGCATGAAGGAGAAATACATTCCCAGACAAACAAAAGCTGAGAGATTTAATCAACTCCAGACCTGTCCTACAAAAAATGCTAAAGGGAGTACCTCAATCTGAAAGAAAAAGACATTAATGGGCATTAATGAGAAATTATTTAAAGGTACAAAACTCACTGGTAATAGTATGCACACAGAAAAATACAGAATAGTACAACACTGTAAGTGGTGTGTAAGCTTCTCTTAACTTACATAGAAAGAATAAATAATGACGGGTTGATAGGTGCAGCAAACCACCATGGCACATGTATACCTATGTATCAAACCTGCACGTTCTACATGTGTATCCCAGAACTTAAAGTAAAATTAAAAAAAGAAAGATTAAATGATGAACCAATCAAAAATAATAACCAAAACAACTTTTCAAGACACAGACAGTACAGTAAGACATAAAGGGAAACAACAAAAAATTAAAAAGCAAGGGGATGAAGTTAAAGTGTAGAGTTTGTATTAGTTTTCTTTCTGCATGTATGTTTGTTTATGCAATCAGAGTTAAATTGTCAGCAGTTTAAAATCATGGGATATAAGATAGTATCTGCAGGCCTCATGGTAACCTCAAATTGAAAAACATATAACAGACACAAAAAATAAAAAACAAGAAATTAAATTATACCACCAGAGAAAATCACCTTTTCAAGACAGGAAGGAATGAAAGAAGGAAGAGATCACAAAACAACCAGAAAACAAATAACAAAATGGCAGGTGTAAGTCTCTACTTATTAATAAGGACATTGAATGTAAATAGACTAAACTCTCCAATTAAAAAACAGAATGGCTGCATAAATTAAAAAACAAGACCCAATGATCTGTTGCCTACAATAAACACACTTCACCTATAAAGATACATATAGACTGAAAACAAAGAAATGGAAAATGATATTCCATGCCAATGAAACCAAAAAGAGCAGAAGTAGCTATACATATATCAGACAAAGTAGACCTCACAACAAAAATTGTAAGAAGAGACAAAGGTCATCATATAATGATTATGGGGCCAATTCAGCAAGAGAACATGATTGTAAATACATATGTACCTGATATTGGGGCACCCAGATATACAAAGCAAATATTATTAGAGCTAAAGAGAGATAGACCCCAATACAATAATAGCTGAAGGCTTCAATACCCCACTTTAAGCATTGGACAAATCTCCCAGACAGAAAATCAACAAAGAAACATGGACTAATTATGCTCTATAGAACAAATGAACCTAATGGATATTTATAGAACATTTCATCCAACAACTGCAGGATGCACATTTTTCTCCTCAAAACATAAATCATTCACAATGATAGATCATATGTTAGGTAACAAAACAAATCTTAAAACATGCAAAAACTTGAAATAATATCAAGCATCACAATGGAATAAAACTATAAATAAATAACAAGAGAAATTTTGGAAACTATATAAACATACAGAAATTAAATGATATGCTCCTGAATGATCAGTTGGTCAATGATGAAATTAAGAAGAAAATTCAAAAAGTTTTTGAAAGAAATGATAATGGAAACACAACATACCAAAACCTAAGGGATACAGCAAAAGCAGTACTAGAGAAAAATTTATAGCTATAAGTCCCTACAACAAAAAAGAAGAAAAGCTTCAAAAAAACAACCTAAAGATGCATCTTAAAGAGCTAGAAAGCCAAGAACAAACCGATCCCAAAATTAGTAAATAGATAAAAAGAAATAATAAAGTAAAAATAAATAGCAAAAAAAAAATAGTAAAAAGAAATAATAAAGATCAGAACAGAAATAAATTAATCTGAAATGAACAAAACAATACAAAAGGTCAATGAAACAAAAGTTGGTTTTCAAAAAAGGTAAACAAAATTCACAAACTTTTAGCCAGACTAAATAAGAAAAAAGAGAGAGGCCCAAATAAATAAAATCAGAGATGAAACACAAAGACATAGCAACTGATACCACAGAAATTCAAAGGATCACTAGCAGCTACTATGAGCAACTATATGCCAATAAATTGGAAAATTTAGAATAAATGGATAAATTCCTAGATATATACAACCTACCAAGATTGAATCATGAAGAAATCCAAAACCTGAACAGACCAATAACAAGTAACTAGAAGAATCTGTAATAAAAAGTCTCCCAGTAAAGAAAAGTTTGGGACCCATTGGCTTCACTGCTGAATTCTACCAAACATTCAAAGAACTAATACCAATCCTACTCAAACTATTTTAAAAAATAAAGAGGGAATACTTCTAAACTCATTCTATGATGCCAGTGTTACTCTGATATCAAAACTAGACAAATATGCATCAATAAAAGAAAACTATAGGCTAACATCCCTGATGAATATTGATGCAAATTCTTCAACAAAATACTAGCAAACCAAGTTGCACAACACACTGAGAAGATCATTTATCATGACCAAGTGGGATTTATCCCAGGAATGCAAGAATGGTTCACCATATGCAAGTCAATCAATGTGATACAGCAACAGAATGAAGGACAAAAACCATATGATCATTAAAATAAACGCTTAATAAAGATTTGATAAATTCAACATCCCTTCATGATAAAGAAAAACCCTAAAAAAACCTAGGTATATAGATGGAACATACTTCAACATAATAAAAGCCATAGATGACAGACCCACAGCTAGTATTATAGTGAATGGGGAAAAGTTGAAAGCTTTTCCTCTAAGATCAGAACATGACAAGGATGCTTATTTTTGCCACTGTTATTCAACATAGTATTGGAAGTCCTAGCTAGAGCAATCAGACAAGAGAAAGAAATAAAGGACCTCCAAATTGGAAAGGAAGAAGTTAAATTATCCCTGTTTGCAGATGATATGATCTTATATTTGGAAAAACCTAAAGACTCCATAAGAAACCTATTGGAACTGATAAAACACATTCAGTAACATTGCAGGATACAAAATCAACATACAAAACTCAATGGCATTACTATATTCCAACAGCAAACAATCTGAAAAAAATCAAAAAGTAATCCCATTTACAATAGCCACACAAAAATTTAAATACCTAGAAATTAACTTAACCAAAGAAGTTAAAGATCTCTACAATGAAAGTTGTAAAACACTGATGAAAGAAATTGAAGAGTACGCACAAAAAATGGAAAGATATTCTATGTTTATGGATTGGAAGAATCAATGTTGTCAAAATGTTCATACTACCCAAAGCAATCTACAGATTCAATGCAATCCGTATCAAAATACCAGTGATATTCTTCACAGAAATAAAAAAAAGCAATTCTAAAATTTATATAGAACCACAAAAGACCCAAAGTAGCCCAATCTATTTTGAGCAAAAAGAAGAAAACTGGAGGAATTATATTACCTGACTTCAAATTATATTACAGAGCTATGGTAATCAAAACAGCATGGTACTCGCATAAGAATATACACATAGGCCAATGGAACAGAATAGAGAACCCAGAAACAAATCCACATACCTACAGTGAACTCACTTTCTGTAAAAGTGCCAAGAACATACATTGGGGAAAAGGAAGTCTCTTCAATAAATGCTGAGGGGAATAGTGGATATACATAAGCAGAAGAATGAACCTAGAACCCATCTCTCACCTTATACAAAACCAAATCCAAATGGATTAAATACTTAAATCTAAGACTAAACTTATGAAACTACTACAAGAAAACATTGGGAGAACTCTCCAGGACATTGGTCTGGGCAAAAATTTCTTGAGAATTACCTTGCAAGCACAGGCAACCAAAGCAAAAATGGAAAACTGGGATCACATCAAGTTAAAGAGCTACTGCACAGCAAAGAATACAATCAACAAAGTGAAGAGACAACCCACAGAATGGAAGAAAATATTTGCAAACTACTCATCTGACAAGGAATTGATAATCAGAATAAATAAGGAGCTCAAACAACTCTATAGAAGAAAATATAAAAATCTGATTTAAAAATGGGCAAAAGACTTGAAGACATTTCTCAAAAGAAGGCATACAAATGCAAACAGGAATATGAAAAAGGGCTCAGCATCATTGCTCATCAGATAAATGCAAATCTAAACAACATTCTCCTCTCGCCCCACTTAAAATGGCTTATATCCAAAAGACAGACAATAACAGATGCTAGTGAGGGTGTGGAGAAAAGGGAACCTTTATACATTGTTGGCGGGAATGTAAATTAGTACAACAACTATGGAGAACAGTTTGGAGGTTCCTCCAAAATCTAAAAATAGAGCTACCATACAATCCAGCAATCCCATTGCTGGGTATATGCCCAAAAGACAAGAAATCAGTATATCAAAGAGACATCTGCACCCTCATGTTTGTTGCAGCACTGTTCACAATAGCCAAGATTTGGAAGCAACCTAAGTGTCCCTCAACTGATAAATGGATAAAGAAAATGTACATATACACAATGAGGTATTATTCAGTCATAAAAAATAATGAGATCCTGTCATTTGCAACAACATGGATGGAACTGGCAGTCATTAGTCATTGAACTAATGGAGATAGAGTATAGAAGAATGGATACCAGAGCCTCAAATTGTAGTCGTTAATAGGGAAAAGGTGGGGATGGTTAATGGGTACCAAAAAATAGTTAGAATGAGTAACTTCTAGTATTTGATAGCATAACAATGGGGGAACTAGAGTCAATAATAACCTAATTGTACATTTTAAAATAACTAAAAAGAGTATAATTAGATTGTTTGTAACACAAAGGATAAATGCTTGATGGGGTGAATACTGATTTTCCATGATGTGATTATTATGCATTAGCTATCTGTACCAAAATATCTCATGTACCACATAAATATATATACCTGCTATGTACAGAAATTAAAAATAAAAAATATGAAGAAAGATTGAAGCAAAAATAACAACTTCTCAAATTTGATGAGAAGCATTAATCTACACGTCAAAGAAGCTCAGCAAATGCCATATAAGATAAATACAAACAGCCACACCTGGACACATCCTAGTCAAGATGCTAAGTAACAAAGGCAAAGAAAATAATTTAGAAAGCAGCAGGAGATAACTCATCATGTATAAGGGAATGACTGTTAATGGCTTGCATTTCATCAGAATCAATGGAGGCCAGAAGGCAGTGGGATTATATATTCAAAGTGCTGAGAGAAAAAAATCTGTTGAGCAAGAATACTATGTTATTCAGAATTATCTTTCAAAAGTGAAGGCAAAATAAATACAGTGTCACATAAACAAAGAGTGAGAAAATTCACTGCTAAGAGATCAGCCCTATAAGAAGTTTGAAAGGAACTCTTTGAGCTGAAGGAAACACATACCAGATGACTATGCAAAGTAGAGACTGATAAATTAAGAGCCATATTGTAATCCCTGGAGCAGCCATTAACAAAATAGCTCAAAAATAGAATTAAAAACTCAACAGAAGAATTAAAATTGTATATTATAAAATATTCAACTAAAAAGGAGCTAGTAGAAGAGGAACAAAAAAGATATGACACATGTAGAAAATATTAGCAAAGATCACATGTAAATCTAATCATATCTTTATTAAATTAAATATGAATAAATAATATACTCTAATCAAAAGGTGGATATTATCAAACTAGGTGAAAAAGCAAAATCCAACTATATGCTATTTGCTGGAGACATATTTTAGATTAAAGATACAAGGAGTTTGAAAGTAAAAGGATGGAAAAATACATACCATGCATGTTATAAACATAAGGAGTTGAAATGGCTATATTGATATGAGTACATAGACTTTAAGACAAGAAAGAGTATTAGAAATAAAGGGACCAGTTCATAATCATAAATATGTAACAATTATAAATGCATTCCCACCTAACAACAGAGCCCTAATACACATAAAGCAAAATCTGAAAGAATTGAAAAAAGCAGCAGAGATTTCAAAAATCTTAATAATTGCTAGGACAAATAGATATTAGTAAAGATGAAGAGAAAACTTGAACAACACCAGTGTGACCTGACATTTTAGAACATTTTACACAATAACAACATAATACACATTTTATTGAAGCAAACATGAAACATTCTACGGTATAGACCATATAATAGGCCACAAACCAAGTCTCAATAAATTCAAAAGGTTCAAAACAAATCTATGTTCTCTGACAACAAATTAGATTAGAAATAAACAACAGAAAGAAATTTAGAGCTCCCCAAATATTTGGAAATATTCAACTACACTTCCAAACGATCCATAAATAAAAGAAATCACAAGGAAAGTTATAATGCATTTTAACTGGAGGAAAATGACAACAAAACGTATCGAAATTTATGGTATGCCCCTTAAGCAGTGCTTGGAAAAAAATTTATACTTTAAACTCTTTATCATAATGAAGAAACATTGCAAATCAATAATCTAAACTTCCACCTTCAGAAACTAGAAAAACAAGAGCAAATTAAACCTAAAGCAAGGAAAGGAAAGAAAAGAAATAAAATCAGAGCACAAATCAATGAAATAGAAAAGAAAAAATGTAATAGAAGTAGAAGAAAATCATTTAAACCATAAATTGTTTCTTTTAAAAGATCATCCCATAAGTATTTGGGAGAATGTACCAATGAAATAATATGGGCCTACGGTGTTCTTTTATGGAAAATTTTAACTACAGATTAAAATTTTAAAATAGATGTACCATTG
The DNA here is from genome assembly GCF_000001405.40 of Homo sapiens. Classification (NCBI taxonomy): domain Eukaryota; kingdom Metazoa; phylum Chordata; class Mammalia; order Primates; family Hominidae; genus Homo; species Homo sapiens. The sequence goes on along the minus strand of NC_000024.10, from coordinate 56,893,325 downwards.
CTATGGTTATTTCTTCTTGGATGAGTTTTTGTAGTTCGCGCCTCCCAGGGATTTAGCCCATTTCATCTAAATTGTTCCATTTGTGAATATAAAGTTGTTCTTAATATTCCTTCATCTTTTTAATGTATGTGTGGTCTTTAGTTAAATGGGAATTATTCTTTCCTGATATTGGTAATTGTCTTCTTGATTTTTTTTTTCTTGATCATTCTGGCTAAAGGTCTATCAATTTTGTTGATATTTTTAAAAAGGCAACTTTTGTTCCATTGATATCTATTAATTTTCTCTTTTAAACTTTATTGATTTTTTCTCAGCTTTATTATTTCCTTTCTTCTGCTTACTGTGGGTTTATTTTGAACTTCTTAGGTGGAAGCTGAGATTATTTATGTAAGACTTATTTCCTAATATAAGAATTTAAAAATATAAATTTCCCTCTAAGCTAACTAATGTAGCTACACCATGCAAAGTTTTATCTGTGGCATTTTCATCTTCATTCAGTTCAAAATATTTTAAAATTCCCTTTCATATTTCTTCTCTGATCATTGGGTGACTTAGATGGATGTTGTTCAATTTACAAAAAAGTTGGGAATTTTTCCAGATTATCTGTTATTGATTTCCAGTTTAATTCTACTGCAATCTGAGGACATACTTTATATGATGAATATTCTTTTAAATTTGCTGAGGTTTGTCTTATGACCCTAAGTATGGTCTACATTGGTGAATATTCCACACACATTTGAAAAGAAATTGTATTCTGCTTTTGTTGGGTGGAATGTTTTATAAATGTCAATTAGTTCTTGTTAGTGCTGTTCAGATCTTCTATATCCTTGTTAATTTTCTGTTTATTCGTTCTACTAGCTGTTGACAGAATTGTCGAAGTGTTCAGCTATAATTGTGGATTTCTGTATTCTTCAATTTCAGTAATTTAAAGTGCTTCATATACTATGTGCTATGTACATAGTACTATGTTGTAAAGAGCATTATGTCTTTTGGATTATGTCTTTTGGAGAGTTGATCCCTTCATCATCATGTATGTCTCTCTATATCCCTGTTAATATTCCTTTTCTGAAGTTTATTTTTGTCTAATATTAGCATAGCTATTCTAGTTTTGTTTCAGCTAGTGTTTGCATTATATGTATTTCTCCACTCTTTTACTTTCAACATATCTATACCTTTACAGTTAAAGTGAGTTTCTTGTAGACAACGTATAGTTGGGTCTTGATTATTTTTAAATCCAATCTGATACTGCCTTTAAATTGGTGTCTTCAGAATATTTACACTTAATGTGATTATTGATATGGTTGGATTAAAATCTACCATTTTCTTAGCTGTTTTCTATTTGTTATATTTCATCTGTGTTTCATTATTCTTCCTTTTCTGCCTTCTCTTGTGTTATTTGAGCATTTAAAAATTCTGCTTTATCTTCTCTTAATGACATTTTAAATAAAAATTTAGTGCCTTCCCAGAGTTTATGATACACATTCAAAAAATCACAGTCTACCAGCAAATATTATTCTCCTACTTCACATGAAGTGTAAGGCTTTTACAACTGTACATTCCCAATTGCTCCCTCCCATCCATTGTGCTTTTGTTAGCACAACTTCTAATTTTATATATGCTATAAATATACAATAAATTATTATATTTTTTCTTTAGACAGTGAGTTATCATTTAGAACAATACAAATAAGAAAAATAATTTAACTTTACCTTCCTATGCTTCATTTCCAGCACTCTTTATTTCCTTGTGTAGTCCCACATTTTAGTCTGATATGATACTCTTTCTGCCTGAAAAACTTTCCTTTATCTTGTAGAATGAGTCTTCTGAAAATGAATTATCTCAGTTTTTGCTTGTCTGATACAGTTTTTATTTCACCTTCATTTTAAAAAGATTTTTTTCTGGATATAGAATCCTGGGTTGACAAATTATTCTTTCTACCTGTTAAAATGATCATTCCATTGTGTCCTGACTTGTATGGCTTATGACAAATAGTCTGCTGTTATTATCTTTTTTCTCTATGTTTGATGTTTCCTTTTCTCTGACTTCAGGATTTTCTCTTTGTCTTTTGTCTTCCAGCAGTTTGAATAAAATATGCCTAATTTGTTTGGTTTTTAAAAAGTCATGTTTGGTGCACTCTGAGCTTGGGTATGCAATTTGGTGTTTGTCATTAATTTAAAAAAAATTCTCAGTCATTATTTTTTAAAATACTTTTTCTGCCCCATTCTTTCTCTCTTTTTCTTTGGTGATTCTAATTACATGAATGTTAGAACATTTGATATTGTCACACAGCTCTTGAATGTTTTCTTTTCCTCATTCTTTTTTTGTCTCAATGTAATCAATTTATTGGTCTAAATTTTTGTTTCAATTTAATATATTTTAAGGTCTATGGATTTTGTCCTCAGAGGTGTCAGTTCTGTTGGGCCCCTCAAAGGCATTCTTCATCTCCGTTATTTTGTTTTTTATTTCTAGCATTTATATTTGATTCTTTATTATAGTTTTGATCTCTCTGCAGAAATTACCCATCTATCTTGTGTGTTGTCCACTTTTTCTGGTGGAACATTTAACTAATTACTCATAGTTATTTTAAGTTACCTGTCAGAGAGTTTCCAAATTTGTGTCGTATCTAATTTTGATTTTGAATATTTCTTGTATCTTTGGGAATGTGTTGATTCTTTTTTTTGCCTTTTCACATGCCTCATAATATTTTGTGGAAAGTTGAATAAGTTGGGTAGGAAATAGAGACCAAGGTAAATAGATTTTATGCCTTGAAATGCACACGCCTTTCCTTCTAGTAGGCCTTTAGTGCGAGGGTTTGCATTATTACAGTTAGTAGTTAGGCTCAATTTGAGATATATTGCTGCTATGGTTACCATCAGTGAACCACCACAGGCTTCAAATTTTTATAGAGAATTTGTGTCTATCATGGAGAATGGTCGACCAGAACAATATCTGTTCAATTATGAGATTAAGGGTTTCCCCAACGAGAACAAAGACACCACATACCAGAATCTCTGGGACACATTCAAAGCAGTGTGTAGAGGGAAATTTATTGCACTAAATGCCTACAAGAGAAAGCAGGAAAGATCCAAAATTGACACCCTAACATCACAATTAAAAGAACTAGAAAAGCAAGAGCAAACACATTCAAAAGCTAGCAGAAGGCAAGAAATAACTAAAATCAGAGCAGAACTCAAGGAAATAGAGACACAAAAAACCCTTCAAAAAATCAATGAATCCAGGAGCTGGTTTTTTGAAAGGATCAACAAAATTGATAGACCGCTAGCAAGACTAATAAAGAAAAAAAGAGAGAAGAATCAAATAGACACAATAAAAAATGATAAAGGGGATATCACCACCGATCCCACAGAAATACAAACTACCATCAGAGAATACTACAAACACCTCTACGCAAATAAACTAGAAAATCTAGAAGAAATGGATACATTCCTCGACACATACACTCTCCCAAGACTAAACCAGGAAGAAGTTGAATCTCTGAATAGACCAATAACAGGCTCTGAAATTGTGGCAATAATCAATAGTTTACCAACCAAAAAGAGTCCAGGACCAGATGGATTCACAGCCGAATTCTACCAGAGGTACAAGGAGGAACTGGTACCATTCCTTCTGAAACTATTCCAATCAATAGAAAAAGAGGGAATCCTCCCTAACTCATTTTATGAGGCCAGCATCATTCTGATACCAAAGCCGGGCAGAGACACAACCAAAAAAGAGAATTTTAGACCAATATCCTTGATGAACATTGATGCAAAAATCCTCAATAAAATACTGGCAAACCGAATCCAGCAGCACATCAAAAAGCTTTTCCACCATGAGCAAGTGGGCTTCATCCCTGGGATGCAAGGCTGGTTCAATATACGCAAATCAATAAATGTAATCCAGCATATAAACAGAGCCAAAGACAAAAACCACATGATTATCTCAATAGATGCAGAAAAAGCCTTTGACAAAATTCAACAACCCTTCATGCTAAAAACTCTCAATAAATTAGGTATTGATGGGACGTATTTCAAAATAATAAGAGCTATCTATGACAAACCCACAGCCAATATCATACTGAATGGGCAAAAACTGGAAGCATTCCCTTTGAAAACTGGCACAAGACAGGGATGCCCTCTCTCACCGCTCCTATTCAACATAGTGTTGGAAGTTCTGGCCAGGGCAATCAGGCAGGAGAAGGAAATAAAGGGTATTCAATTAGGAAAAGAGGAAGTCAAATTGTCCCTGTTTGCAGACGACATGATTGTTTATCTAGAAAACCCCATCGTCTCAGCCCAAAATCTCCTTAAGCTGATAAGCAACTTCAGCAAAGTCTCAGGATACAAAATCAATGTACAAAAATCACAAGCATTCTTATACACCAACAACAGACAAACAGAGAGCCAAATCATGGGTGAACTCCCATTCGCAATTGCTTCAAAGAGAATAAAATACCTAGGAATCCAACTTACAAGGGATGTGAAGGACCTCTTCAAGGAGAACTACAAACCACTGCTCAAGGAAATAAAAGAGGACACAAACAAATGGAAGAACATTCCATGCTCATGGGTAGGAAGAATCAATATCGTGAAAATGGCCATACTGCCCAAGGTAATTTACAGATTCAATGCCATCCCCATCAAGCTACCAATGACTTTCTTCACAGAATTGGAAAAAACTACTTTAAAGTTCATATGGAACCAAAAAAGAGCCCGCATTGCCAAGTCAATCCTAAGCCAAAAGAACAAAGCTGGAGGCATCACACTACCTGACTTCAAACTATACTACAAGGCTACAGTAACCAAAACAGCATGGTACTGGTACCAAAACAGAGATATAGATCAATGGAACAGAACAGAGCCCTCAGAAATAATGCCGCATATCTACAACTATCTGATCTTTGACAAACCTGAGAAAAACAAGCAATGGGGAAAGGATTCCCTATTTAATAAATGGTGCTGGGAAAACTGGCTAGCCATATGTAGAAAGCTGAAACTGGATCCCTTCCTTACACCTTATACAAAAATCAATTCAAGATGGATTAAAGATTTAAACGTTAAACCTAAAACCATAAAAACCCTAGAAGAAAACCTAGGCATTACCATTCAGGACATAGGCGTGGGCAAGGACTTCATGTCCAAAACACCAAAAGCAATGGCAACAAAAGACAAAATTGACAAATGGGATCTAATTAAACTAAAGAGCTTCTGCACAGCAAAAGAAACTACCATCAGAGTGAACAGGCAACCTACAACATGGGAGAAAATTTTCGCAACCTACTCATCTGACAAAGGGCTAATATCCAGAATCTACAATGAACTCAAACAAATTTACAAGAAAAAAACAAACAACCCCATCAAAAAGTGGGCGAAGGACATGAACAGACACTTCTCAAAAGAAGACATTTATGCAGCCAAAAAACACATGAAAAAAATGCTCATCATCACTGGCCATCAGAGAAATGCAAATCAAAACCACTATGAGATATCATCTCACACCAGTTAGAATGGCAATCATTAAAAAGTCAGGAAACAACAGGTGCTGGAGAGGATGTGGAGAAATAGGAACACTTTTACACTGTTGGTGGGACTGTAAACTAGTTCAACCATTGTGGAAGTCAGTGTGGCGATTCCTCAGGGATCTAGAACTAGAATTACCATTTGACCCAGACATCCCATTACTGGGTATATACACAAAGGACTATAAATCATGCTGCTATAAAGACACATGCACATGTATGTTTATCGCGACATTATTCACAATAGCAAAGACTTGGAACCAAGCCAAATGTCCAACAATGATAGACTGGATTAAGAAAATGTGGCCCATATACACCAGGGAATACTATGCAGCCATAAAAAATGAGGAGTTCATGTCCTTTGTAGGGACATGGATGAAACTGGAAATCATCATTCTCAGTAAACTATCGCAAGATCAAAAAACCAAACACCACATATTCTCACTCATAGGTGGGAACTGAACAATGAGATCACATGGACACAGGAAGGGGAACATCACACTCTGGGGACTGTGGTGGGGTGGGTGGAGGGGGAGGGATAGCATTGGGAGATATACCTAATGCTAGATGATGAGTTAGTGGATGCAGCGCACCAGCATGTCACATGTATACATATGTAACTAACCTGCACAATGTGCACATGTAACCTAAAACTTAGAGTATAATAAAAACAACAACAACAACAACAACAACAACAACTTGGCCAGGCCCGGTGGCTCACGCCTGTAATCCCAGCACTTTGGGAGGATGAGGCAGGCAGATCACAAGGTCAGGAGATTGAGACCGTCTTGGCCAATATAGTGAAACCCATCTCTACTAAAATACAATAAAAAGAAAGAAAGAAAAATAACCAGGCGTAGTGGCACGTGCCTGGAGTCCTAGCTACTTGGGACGCTGAGGCTGAGGCAGGGGAATCGCTTGAACCCGGGAGGCGGAGGTTGCAGTGAGGCCAGATTGCACCACTGCACTCCAGCCTGGTGACAGAGCGAGACTCCATCTCGAAAAAACAACAAAAAAAAACTTTATTTCTTCAGATTTATGTTACTGTTTACATGTGTAAACTATAATTTCAAGTTCTTCAGTGCTGTCTTTATCCATTCATTCATTTATAGTGCCTGTTATGTTGCAGCTCTGTTCTAGGGATTGGGTATTGAACAACGGATCAGACAGTGTTAGTTTTGGTCATCCCAGGAAAACTAAGCAGAGGCTTGCTCAAGAACTACTGACGTCTTGGTGGGGTTCGGAGATTGGGGGAAGAGGAGATGGACAAAGTCTCCCAAGAGGAAGTAGTATTGGGTCTGCAGAATGACCCAACAAAGAATGAGGGCAAGGGATTCCAGGCAGTGGGAATTACTTGTACATAGGCCCTGAGACCTGAGAGCAGCGTGGGTTTGAGGCTCACGGTAGGAAGATTAGTAAGGCTGTAGCTAAGGAGAGGAGGAGGAAAAAACAGGGTTGGAAGGAGGGAGGAGAAATTAGATAAGGCTGGAAAAGTCAACCAGAGCCAGATCAGAAAGGTTCTGTAACCATGTGAGAAATGTATTACATATGTGAACTATACATTTATATCTCATGTCATTGGATTTTTGAGGTGGAAAATATTTAATTTATACCTGAAGAATGACTATAAATTTCTTTCTTTCCACATATTCTTAAATGATCTCATCAATTTAATTTTAAATAATTCAATCACCATTTAGCTCGTTTTTTTTTTTGAGACAGGGTCTTGTTCTGTCACCCAGGCTGGAGTATAGTGGTGCAATCATAGCTCACTACACCCTCAAACTCTTGGGCTCAAGCAATCCTCTCAGCTGAGCCTCCTGAGTAGATGTGACTACAGGTGTGTGCCACCATACCCAGCTAATTTATTTATTTATTTAGAGACAAGAGTTTTGCTCTTGTTGCCCAAGCTGGAGTGCAATGGTGTGATCTTGGCTCACTGCAACCTCCGCCTCCCAGGTTCAAGCAATTCTCCTGCATCAGCCACCCAAGTAGCTGAGATTACAGGCATGCACCACCATGCCTGGCTAATTTTGTATTTTTAGTAGAGATGGGGTTTCTCCATGTTGGTTCGGCGGGTCTTGAACTCCTAACTTAAGGTGATCCTCCTGCCCTGGCCTCCCAAAATGCTGGATTACAGGTGTGAGCCACTGTGCCCAGCCCCTAATTTTTTTTTTAGTTTTATTTACTTTGAATAGAGATAAAGTCTGATTTTGTTGCCCAATTTGTTCTCGAATGCCTGGCCTCAAGTGATCCTCCTGCCTCGTCCTCCCAAAGTGCTAAGATTACAGGCATGAACCAGCACACCCAGCCTGGAAATTCTTTTACAGTCTAAGAAACATAATTTGGATAAATATTTACTGCCAAATGAGTTACTAAATATTTAAAAGGACAAGATTAAATGGTCTTTTAGGTTTCTTTTAACTTGGAGATTTGTATCCAAGGAGATTTCACCTGAGACTGAAGTTATTTCCTACTGTCAGCGATAATGGAAGCACTACAGTTGTGGCATTCAAGTATTACAGTGAATTACAATTATACTGTCAGCAATATTATGTTAACAGTACATTGTTTATGGCAATATTATCTAACATATTTTAAGCCCTGTTCCTTTTGTTACTGAGAGGTCTAAAATAACATTTTACAAGTATAGTTGAATATAGCATCAGTAAATTGGTTATGAGGAAGACTCCTTCATAATTGCTTTTAAGGATTAAACATGTATCTAAGGACAACACCAAGGAACTACTAGAAATAACCCTCGAGTCAGTCTTTTCCGTTCTGTTTCCACACCCTTAGTTTTCTATTACTTTTAGGAATGACCTTTGTTAACTAAGTCATTAAAATCCAATAAACATAAACTCTTCAGACCCCACTGCTGGATCATACTCTTGGCAGCAAGCAGAGGAAGGCAGGGGCTACCACTGTTTTACAGAATAATAGTAAGTCAATGATCCAAGAAATGACTTCCCAGGGAAACGGCAAATTAAATACGTTCACAACCTTGGGCTGTTGAGAGTGGTTTTGGCTCTTGGTTTGCACATTGACGTCTTTAATTATTTTCTTGCTAAACCAACTTCAGTATTGGAAAGATAGCTCATGTATAAAATAACATGGAAAATGTACATCACATCCCATTTGTTTTGGGTTTTTGTCTTTTTTTTTTCTTTTTTTGGAAAATAGTTCAATAGTACTATCTCTTCCTTAATTTCTTAATGAGTGTCAATACCAAGGGGCAGCTTTGGGGATCTTTAGCCCAAATCTAAGCAAAAATATAATCTGAGCAAAAACTGTGTATATTTATCAAATGCAACATCAAGACAAGCCCCCCAGCTCCCACTTGGTGCTGCCTGTTCTGTAAGCTCTTGCTATATATATATATATAAAAAAAATCTGGGGTTAGTTTAGGCCCAGCGGGCAGCAGTTTTCTGCTACACATGTTTCTTTCTGTTTTTGTTTGTTTGTTTGTTTGTTTGTTTTTTGTTTTTTGAGACAGAGTCTTGCTTTGTTACCCAGGCTGCAGTGTAGTGACACTAGCTTGGCTCACTGCAACCTCCGCCTCCCAGGTTCCAGCGATTCTCCTGTCTCAGCCTCCCAAGTAGCTGGGATTACAGGTGCACACCATCACGCCTGGCTAATTTTGTATTTTTATAGAGACAGGTTTTCACCGTGTTGGTCAGGCTGGTCTCGAACTCCTGATCTCATGTGATCCACCTGCCTCGGCCTCCCAAAATGCTGGGATTATAGGCGTGTGCCACTGTGCCCAGCCTTTTTCTGCCCCCCACCTTTTTTTTGTAGTTGTTGTTTTTAGAGAGACAGGGTCTTGCTGTGTTGCCCAGGTATGCCTCAAACTCCTGGGTTCAAGGGATCCTCCCCCATCAGCCTCCCTGGGCTTATGCATGTTTTTAAAGAAATGGTAGATAAGAGATCTAAGGTATTCCAGTGACTATGAAACTGAGGTGAATGACTAAGGGACTGAGACTTCTCTCTCCAAACCTGTTTCTCCACTAGTCTTCCAAGCCTTCCCAGTTACTCCAACCTGAAAATGAGTCATCCTTGGCTCCTCATTACCAACCCTCACCCCACCCTTCTCCATCCACCAGCAGATCTGTTTATTCCACTTCCAAAATATACCCCAGATGTTCTTCCTCTTCCTCCGTACTCCAAGCTACCATGCCGTGTAAGTTATGATTGTGATTTTTGCATGTCTTCTTCCACTGCTACCTGGAGGCTGGAGTGACCTTTCAAAATATACATCAGATCAGATCATGTCACTCTCCTGCCAAAAGCCCTCCAAAGTTCTTACGGTGATCTAGCTGCCTCTTCAAACTCATCACACATCTGATCTTAGATGTATTATGCTTCAAGCACATTGGTCTTCTTGTAGTCCCTCAAACAAGCTTCTTTCAGGACTATGGCTCTGAACAAGCTTTCCTCTCTGCCAGGGATGTTATTCCCTCCTGCTATGGCAGGTCTGACTCCTAATGTCCTTTAATCTTTGCCTAAATTTCACCTCCTCCAGCCCTTACCTGGCTTCCTAAAGTGGTGGTGCCCCCTCTCTGATGTTATTTTATCTCTGTGCTTTTCTCTTAACAGTAATAATCAGAACTTGTAATTATTTTGTTAATATTTAAAATCTAGCTGGACATGGTGGCTCACGCCTATAATCCCAGCATTTTGGGAGGCCAAGGCGGGAGGATCACCTGAGGTCAGGGGTTCGAGACCAGTCTGGCCAACTGGCAAAACCCCATCTCTACTAAAAATACAAAATTAGCCAGGTGTCATGTTGCACACCTGTAATCCTAGCTACTCACGTGGCTCAGGCAGGAGAATTTCTTGAACCCAGGAGGCAGAGGTTGCAGTGAGCCGAGATAGCACCACTGTTCTCCAGCCTGGGAGAGAAGAGCAATGTGGGGTAGGGGGAGGGGGAAGGGATAGCATTAGGAGATATACCTAATGCTAAATGACGAGTTAATGGGTGCAGCACACCAGCATGGCGCATGTATACATATGTAAGTAATCTGCACATTGTGCACATGTACCCTAAAACTTAAAGTATAATAATAATTTTTAAAAAATCTACTTTCTTCACTCGACTGTAGGGTGGTGGAAGAGGTCAGGGGACCTGTCTGCCCTGTTTGCCATCCTGTTCCTAGTGCCTAACATGGAGTAAACCCTAAACATTCATGGAATGGATAGCACTGCTGTTCACAGATATATGCCTTACCTACTTTCATTTCCTTGAGTGTTGTGGTGGTGTTAAAAAAGAAAGCTATTTTATTCTACGTTATTCTTCAACACAAAGGGCTGTGCTCCAGTGAAATTTGAAGTGCCTTTTGTGGAGTGTACTTTGAGTAAAGTTCATTTAAATCAGGTACTTATAAATGTTAAGTCAATTACAAATATGGTGTCCCATTTTCTTTTCTAACCTAAACTAGATGTTTTAAAAGAGTCTTATTCTATCCGGTAAGAATAAGGAAAGAGGCAAGTAATCTTATTTTTTGGACCAAGGGGCCACGAGGTCATAAGACCTAAAAATCTTTACACTCCCAGGCAACACCTGCTCATTAATTATCTGGGAGACTGGTAAGGATTTAAAATTAATTTTTTCCTTAAGCCCAGGAATCATTTAAAAAATCTGTATAACATTTTTTTCTCATGTAGTCTTAGCCCCAAAGAATATTAAGTCTATCAATTAGGTTATAATTCAAATCTTATCAAGAAATAAATGCTTATATAAATCAAGATTAAAAAAAATTTCAAAGCAGCGTTTTTTAAACAGTCACTTTTTAAAATCCCCATCAAAATGGTAAAATTCATTGTGATCCTGACCTCTGATGCTGTCAGCCACAGGAAGGGGCAAAACAACTTGAGGTTGAAGCCGTGTCTTTCCCAAAGCTCAGGTTCACCAAACATGGTCTCCAGATGGAGTCTGCTCCTCAGAACCTGGGCTTTACTTCTCGATGGGAGAAGGAAGCAGTGTTAAAACTTGTCTATTCTGAACTAGCCAACCAGATTAAAGGAGGGGTTTGTGCATACCAACATCACCCCAGAATGACCTGAATGACTCACTACATGCAGACAGTGGTGCAAACTCATTAACAAGTAAACAACTCACACCAGTGCTCTGTGCTCACAGGGCTGGGGGCATTCCTGGGTATTTTTCTTAAGGGAGGCTGGAAGAAGGGAGGAGGCATTCCTTTCTCCCAGAGGCAAAGGCCAGTTCCTTTTGCTGTGCCCCAGGCCTTTCCTGGTTGTTATAAACTCTTCCAGGCCTTTTCTTGGGAAGGTGCTCTCATCCCCACACTCCTGCCTCCTCCCTCCACCTGTTGTGCACTCCCTGAGAGAAACAAAACAAGTTAATTAGCTTATTCAGCTACTTCGGAAGCTGAGGGGGGAGGACTGCTTGAGCCTAGGAGTTTGGATTCAGCCTGGGCAACATGTCGAGACCCCATCTCTAATTTTTTTTTTAAGTTTTTTTTTTTAATTTAAATTAACATATTCAGGCTAGTGCATGTACTTCCGTTCTCTACTGAAGTAATTCACCCTAAATTGAAACTAGCATTGCTAGTTTAGTGTATTACTCCTCTCTAGGCAGCCTCTCTCTCTCTCTGTATATATTTTGTTTGTTTGTTTGTTTTGTTTTGTTTTGTTTTTTGAGACAGAGTTTCACTCTTGTCGCCCAGGCTGGAGTGCAATGGCACAAGCTAGGCTCACTGCAACCTCCACCTCCTGGGTTCAAGCTATTCTTCTGCCTCAGCCTCCCAAGTAGCTGGGACCACAGAATGTGTGTGACCACACCTGGCTAATTTTTTTATTTTTTTGAACTGGAGTCTCACTTTGCTCCCCAGGCTAGTCTTGCCACTATCCTAGTTTTTCTTCTGTATTATTAGACGGGGTCTCAGTGTCCTTGAACTTCAAGGAATTAACATTGAGTGTAGTATTAGTAAAACTTATCTTCTATTCATGAAAAGTCAATCATTTTTTTAAAAAAAGATCCCACAATTATTATAAGCAGAAACAAATTAAAAGGTTGTATACATACTGCTTGAAAAACACAACTTACCAAAACCAAATATAAGAGTATGTATACCCGTATATTTATGAAATAAATAGAATCCATAATTTAAAACTTCCTCACAAAAACAATCCCCAGTTCCTGATGGCATCACTGGTGAATTCCTCAATGAAAGGGAAAAAATAACACCAACATTACAGATTTTTTTTTAAATCTTAGGGACAGAGTCTCACTATGTTGCCCAGGCTGGAGTCAGTGGCTATTCACAGTCACGTTCCAGTTATCCTCCCACCTCAGCCTCTTGAGTAGATGGGCCTAGAGGATACAGAAACTTTTAAGAGAACAAAAATAAAGGGAACTCCTGAGCTCAAGCACTTCTCCCACCTCGGCCTCCCAAAGTGCTGGGATTACAGGCATGAACCACTGTGTCCCGCTTAGTGTGCTGTTTTTAAAAATGACTTTTGGGCTCGTGTTCATGTGACTGATTAGCCTGTAGTTTTACTTTTTGTAATTTTTTAGACTACTTTTGGTATCAAGTTTATTGTAATCTCAAAAACTGAGCATGGCTCTGTTCCCTTTATTTTTGTTCTCTTAAAATTTCTGGCCAGGTGCAGTGGCTCACACCTGTAATCCCAGCACTTTGGGAGGCCGAGGCGGGCAGATCATGAGGTGAGGAGATCGAGACCATCCTGGCTAACACGGTAAAACCCCGTGTCTGCTAAAAATACAACAACAAACTATTTAGCCGGGTGTGGTGGTGGGTGTCTGTAGTCCCAGCTACCAGGGAGGCTGAGACAGGAGAATGGTGTGAACCCGGGAGGCGGAGTTTGCAGTGAGCTGAGACTGCGCCACTGCACTCCAACCTGGGTGACAGAGCGAGACTCTGTCCCAAAAAAGAAGTTTCTGTAGCCTGTAGTCCCAGCTACTCCGGAGGCTGAAGTAGGAGGATCACTGGAACGTGACTGTCACTTGAGGGTATGATGGTCAGCTGGGTTTCCACCCCTTTGATGCACTTCAAATCCTGTGTATCCCACAAAGACTTGCTCCTTTCTAAAGGCTATGGTTTACGTTCAACAGAATAGCAGCAACCACCATAAGCCTGAAGGCTGGCTAGTCTTTAATATTCTGCCCTATTCAAAGAAATGAGTCTTTCCCTCATTCCTAAGGATCTCCCAGGTCCATTACAAAAAAAGAAGGAGCAGCAAGGTGCAGTGGCTCATGCCTGTAATCCCAGCTCTTTGAGAGGCCAAGGCGGGCGGATAACCTGAGGTGAGGAGTTTGAGACCACCCTGGCCAACATGGTGAAACCGCATCTCTATTAAAACTACAAAAATCAGCTGGGCATGGTGGTGTGTGCCTGTAATCCCAGCTACTAGGGAGGCTGAGGCAGGAGAATTGCTTGAACCTGGGAAGTGGAGGTTGCAGTGAGCCAAGATCATGCCACTGCATTCCAGCCTTGGGGACAGAGCAAGACTGTCTCAAAAAAAAAAAAAAAATTCTTACCTCCTGGAAGTATTTTACTAGTGTTGGTTTCTATTTGACACTAAACACTTCCCCAGGCCAGTGTATTAGCAGTTAGCTCCTTACTGAATATTATCTGTAGCAAACAGTAGCTGACTCCTAGCTCTCTTCAGTGAACTTGAATTGAAATTTATAGAATTCTCATGACTTCTATTTCATCTTGAAACCCAGATATTTCTTCCTTTTCCTAGTGATTTACCTTTCAATTATATGTAGACTGAACCAGTCCCAGCTGTCTTTAGTTGGTCTCTATTCAAACACTGTACTTTTGTTTCTTGATTACATCTTCAATTATTTTAGTTATTTCTGAGATTCTCCCCTGTAATTTCTCCAACTATCTAGGGCATAAAGAGTGCATGAATAACATTATGAAGGCTGTGAGACTTCAAATAAATGAGTAGCCTTTCTGAGTCTCAGTTTTCTCCTCTGTAAACCAGGAATAATTTTCACTGAACAAAGTTGTTCTAAGGATTAGTGAAATGTATGTACAGCCTTTAGCATTTAATAGGTGATCAAATGGTAAGTGATGGTTATAAAATGTTTTTATCATGGTAAAATATACAAAGCATAAAACTTACCAGCCTTTTAATCTAAATTGTCTTATTGTGATAGGCTTGCTTATAGTAAAACAAACTCTTATCTTTTTAGTATCTGTAGGATCTATAGTGATAACTGTTCACTCCTTATATTCTAACTTGTGCCTAATTAGTTAGGCACAACTCTTACTAATTAGTTATCTATTGCTGCATAAGAAATTACCTGAAACTTAATGTCTTCAAACAACAACAAGTATTTATTATCTGTGATAGGCAGACTTCTAAGATGTTTCCCATGATCTCGATGTCCTGGTGTTATACTCTGTATGATCTCTTCCTTTTTTAGTGTGGATGGGATCACTGCCCAAACTTTTGGATGAAATCGAGTGAGTGTGAGAAGGATCTGTGACTTGTTTCTAACTGACATAATATTGCAAATGTGATGGGTTGTTACTCCTGTGATATGTGTGTGTGTGTGTGTGCACACAGAAGAAAGGAGAGAGAAGAGGAGAGGAGGAGGAGAGAGACATACATTAGGATATGAGATAGACATATTGCTGGCATGCACACAAGATTCTCCTTGCTGATTTGATGAAGTGTGTGACCATATTGAGGAAGCCCAACAGCAGGTGGTGTCTAGGACCTGAGGGTGGCCTCCAGCCAATACCCAATAAAAAACATAGCTACACAATCATACAGACATAAGAAAATGAATTTTGTCAACAACCTCAATGAGCTTGAACCTAGCTCAGCTGACACCTTGCCTGCAACCTTGTGAAACCCTATGCAGTGAACCCAGTTGAGTTGTGACCAAATTCCTGACCCACAGAAAATACGAGACAATAAATACGTTTTTTTCCTCCTTTTTTTTTTTTTTTTTTGAGACAGTTTCACTCTTGTTTCCCAGGCTGGAGTGCAGTGGTGCGCTCTCAGCTCCCCACAACCTCTACCTCCCGGGTTCAAGCAATTATCCTGCCTCAGCCTCCCAGGTAGCTGAGATTATAGGCATGTGCCACCACACCCAGCTAATTTTGTATTTTTAGTAGAGATAAGGTTTCTGCATGTTGGTCAGGCTGGTCTTGAACTCCTGACCTCAGGTGATCTGTCTGCCTCGGCCTCCCAAAGGGCTGGGATTACAGGTATGAGCCACGGTAACTGGCCTTTTCTCATATGTTTATAGCAGCACAATCTGCAACTGAAAAAATATGGAATCAGTTCAAATGCCCATTAGTGAACGAATGGATAAAGACAATGTGGTATATATGTAGCATGGAATACTACTCAGCCATAAAAAGAAACAAAATAATGGCATTTGCAGCAATCTGGATGGAATTGGAGACTTGTTCTATGTGAATTAACTCAGGAATGGAAAACCAAATATCATATGTTCTCACTCATAGGTGGGAGCAAAGCTATGAAGATGCAAAGGCATAAGAATGATACAATTGACTCTGGGGACCCAGGGGAAAGGGTGGGAGGGGGATGAGGGAGAAAAGACTACACATTGGGTACAGTGTACCCTGCTCGAGTGATGGGTGCACTAAAATCTCAGAAATCATCACTAAAGAAGTTATTCATGTAACCAAACACCATCTGTTCCCCAAAAACCTATTGAAATAAAAAATAAATTTAAAGAAAAGGAAGTAAAAAAAACACTTAAAAAAGAATAAACATGTATTTTCTTAAATGAAATCCTGACCCACAGAAACTGTATAAGAGAAAATATACTAGACAATATATGTATATTTCCTGAGATGTTCATTTGTTGTACAACAATAGCAAACTAATATAGAGCTTCTGTGGTTCCTGATTTGAGAAATGCTTTAGCTAGGTTGTTCTGTCTTGGTCAATATGTTGATTAGGCCTGCAGTCATCCAAAGGCTTGACTGAGACTAGGGCATCCAATTTCAAGACGGCTCACTTAACATGGCTAGCAAGTCAATGCTGTCTGTTAGCAGGACACCTCTGTAATGTAATGCATTAAGCTCTGTAGGGTTGCTTGAATGTCCTTGCAGTATGGTAGCTACTTTCACCCAGGGTGAACAAGGTGGAAGCTGCCATGTGTTTTATAATCTAGCCTAGGAAATTTGAACTAGCTTTTTGATAACACAGGTTAGCCATATTTAATATGAGAGAGAACTGCACAAGGCATGGATAGCGGAAGTGAAAATCACTGGGGGCCATTTTGGAGGCTGGCTGCCACAGAGATTAGCAACTGGAATACTGTTTTCAAAGAAACAGCTTTGGCTTTTTATATTTTCTCTATTATGTCTTTGGTTTTTTTTTTTTTCATTGATTTCAGCTTTTATCCTTATTATTTCCATCATTTTAATTTCATTCAGCTTAATTTGCTGGGATTTTTGAGATGGATGCATAGATCATTGGAGTTTTTTCTTTTTCTTTTTTTTGAGACAGGGTCTTACTGTGTCACTCAGGCTATAGTGCAGTGATGAATCATAGCTCATAGCAGCCTTAAATTACTGAGCTCAAGTGATCCAATCCTCCCTCCTCAGCCTTCCAAGTAGCTGGGACCACAGGTGTGTGTCACCATGCCCAATTAATTTTTTTTTTTTTTTTTTTTTTTTTTTTTTTTTTTTTTTTTTTTTTTTTTGCTGTGACAGGTCTCACTATGTTGCCTGGGCTGGTATTGAAGTTCTGGCCTCAAGCAAACCTCCTGCCTTGGCCTTCCAAAATGTTGGGATTATACATGTGAGCCACCACACCTATCATATCAGTTTTTCAGTACTTTTTTTGTTTTGTTTTCAAATACATGTGTTTACGATTATAGATTCCCCCCACCCCAGATTTAGTCACATCCCACAAGTTTTCTACTTTTGTAAAATATTATTGAAGTATAATATACCTGAGAGAAAGTGTGCCATCTTAAAGGTACAAGTGGGTGAATTATCACAATGTAAATAAACCTCTGTAACTAGCACCAAGATAAAAAAAAACTAGTAGTTATTTAAACCTAGGTTTGATAATATTACCAATGACTTTAAAGTTCATGTCTGATAATTCTAATACCTGAAGCACTTGTGGGTTTGTTTCTTTTTTCTGTTTTTTATTTTGCTCATAGTTTTCAGTCACTTGATCATATATCCTGGCATTCCTGGTAACATATACATACTTCTCATTTTTAAAAATTGTACAGCTCTAGCATAAAGAGTCTTACAATGGGAACTTATCCCCCATCTATAACTTTTTTTACACTTTGTTTTCTTTTTACTCTTTCTAGACTTTATTATTTTACTTTTTGGATAAGTAATATAGTTACAAGTTTCTAAGATAAAAAATTATGAAAGAGTGTTAGTGAAAAGTCTCATTCTTGCAATGCCAGCACCCTCTTCCTGTCCTACAGGTAACCACCATGATTAATTTCTGGTATATCATTCCAGAGATAGTTTAATCCTCATATATACAAGCAAATTATGTATACTGCATTCCTGTGTCTGTTCTGTACTTTGCTTTTTTCACCTAACATTATATTTTGGTGAGTTTTCTGTTTAGTACATAATACATTTTCTCATATTTTAAACAACTGTATTCTGTTGTATGAATTTATCATAATGTATTGAATCATTCCACTGCTGATGGACATCCAGTTTGTTTCCAGACGTTTGCTATTGTGATAGGCTGAATAAAAGATGTCCACAGGCCGGGAGCGGTGGCTCAAGCCTGTAATCCCAGCACTTTGGGAGGCTGAGGTGGGCGGATCATGAGGTTAGGAGATTGAGACCATCCTGGCTAACACAGTGAAACGCCATCTCTACTAAAAACACAAAAAATTAGCCGGGTGTGGTGGCATGCGCCTGTAGTCCCAGCTACTTGTGAGGCTAAGGCAGGAGAATTACTTGAACCCGGGAGGCAGAGGTTGTAGTGAACAGAGATTGCACCACTGCACTCCAGCCTGGGTGACACAGTGAGACTGTCTTTCCAAAAAAAAAAAGATGTCCACATTCAAATCCCTGAATCTAGGAATATATTACTTTACATAGCCAAAGGGGCCTTGGGAGTAAGGATTGTGAGATGGGCAGAGGAGCGTGTATCATCCAGGTGGGCACAATGGAATCAATCACAAGCGTCCTTATAAGCGGGAAGAAGAAGCGTCAGACTCAGGCGATACGAAGATGGAAGTGGTGATTGCAGTGATATACGATCAAAAGCCAAGGTATGTGGAAAGCCGTCAGCAGAAGGAAGAGGCATGGAAACGGGCTCTCCCCTGGAGCCTCCAGAAGGAACCAGCCTTTGATTTTAGCTCCGCAAGACGCGTTTCAGACTTCTGACCTCCAGGCTTATAATAAGATAAGTTTCTGTTGTTTTAAGCTGCTACATTTGTGGTAACTGATTATAGCAGCAATAGGAAACTTAGAAGAGCTATTTTTACAATTATAAGCAAAGCTGCAAGAAACAATGTGTATCTGACATTTTGCATTTGGGCAAGTATATCTGCAAAATAAATGTCTAGATGTGGACTAGGTGGTTAGTTTTGATAATTGTTAAATCACTCTCCTCTAGACGGGTTATACCAGTTTATACTTCTAGCAGCAATGTGAGTGAATACCTCTTTCCCACAGCCTTCTCAACTCAGTGTGTTATCAAACTTAGAATTTTTACTGTTCTGCTAGTAAAAAGCCCTAATTTCTTTGGATAACTTACTAATTATTGAGTCTTCCTCATCTGCACAACATGGTTAGAAGCTCCTTCAGAGTTATGTCTGGGTCCTTATTTCTATTTTTTTCTACACTGCATACCTTTGTGTCCTTCCTGTTAACCTTACATAGGGCGGGCTCCCTGCACAGAAGGAGGAGACGATATACTCAACGGCATCTGTGCGTGATAGAGGGGAAAAAAATGCGATGTAGAATCCATTCTATCCATCTATCAAGTTCCGTTTAGGAAAACAAAATATCCTAATCACAATAATTGACTAGTGAAGACTGAAGAAGCGGTTGCCTAGCAATGCCCTGATCGTTTTTGATGTTGACTGGTTGACATAAGGCGGGATCAACAAACACACAGCACATGTGTGGCCCTGGCAGCTGATTCAGATCCTTCCCACTAAGGTCAACATTACCCAGGCTCTTGGAGGCAACCACTCCTCATTGATTATTTGCACATGAGATAAACCTGTTTGTTTTACCATACTGAAGGACTAACAGAATCACAAACTGTAACTCAAGTGCTTTTCCAATGAAGAGTGAAATAGGAAAGAACGAAAATAACATATATCTACCCCCTCCTCCTCTTCCTTTAGCTTGGGTTCATCATTATCTCCATTTCTCCATTTTATTTTTGTTTCCTTTTTATTGGCACCACCCAAGTATACTTGTGTGTGTGTGTGTGTGTGTGTGTGTGTGTGTGTGTGTGTTTGATATTAAAACTTTAGGGAAAGAAACAGCTCTCTTAAAAATGTCAGCAACTTCAATTCATTGCTTTTTAAATATCCTGGTTAATAATTTACACCTTTGGTTAAAATATTCAATCATCTACTTAATATATAGTGCTTAGCTTTGTTTTTATTTTATTTTTTGAGACAGTCTTGTTAGCTGTGTTGTCCAGGCTGGAGTGCAGTGGCCCAATCTTGGCTCACTGCAACCTCCACCTCCTGGGTTTAAGCAACTCTCATGCCTCAGCCTCCCGAGTAGCTGGGATTACAGGTGCCCACCACCACGCCCAGCTAATTGTGTTTTTAGTGGAGACGGGCTTTCACCATGTTAGCCAGGCAGGTCTCAAACTCCTGACCTCAAGTGATCCGCCCGTCTCGGCCTCCCAAAGTGTTGGGATTACACGCGTAAGCCATCGCGTCCAGCCTAGTGCTTAGCTTTAATGTGAATCAGTGTTAGCATACATATTCAGAATTCTTTCAACCTCAAACCACAAAACTTAATTATGTATCATGGAAATACAAATCAGAACAAAAATCTATTGACTGTGAGCCCACATAACGTAATTTTTGTTTCCTGAAAACAGAAGTATGCAAGTGGATGAGGCCTTTTAAGGGAACCTTGTGGCTTCTCAGTCCTTGCTGTTCTGAATTGGTGATTATCCACAGAAATGACCAACAGGTGATTGTAAAGATACTGGTAATTCTCCGCTCTTATCTGATTGCACCTACACTTTGCTTGTTGCTCATTCTGCATAACATCTAAATGCTGCGTGACACCTAAACCCTTTAGTAGTCGGCCAAAAGGAGGAACGAGGGCGTGTTTATGAAACAGACAGCTGTCGTGAGTCCTGGCGCTCAGCTTCATTCACTAATCAGTTGTCAGTTGGCAACTTGATTACAGATAACTTCAGTGTGAGTCAGGCTCGTTTGCCACAGCTGTTTCCCTTAAAAGTTCTCTGATAAGTCATTGCCACCACTACTTCCAAATAGCGTATGTTAACTTTGAGTTAATTTTAGATAACCTCGGGTTAATTTAAACAATTTTGGCACCAACAACATGTTTAGGCTAGGCAGCATGGATGGGTATAGGAATCCGTCAATCTGGGTTGCTGTGTACCAGCTCTGGGACTGGGGGCAAGTTGTAGCAGCCCTGAGCCTCCTGCTTCACCTGTATCAGGGGAGGCTGAGACCCACCTTGCAGGGGTCTTGTGAAGATTAAATGCAATGCTGTGTGAATGGTGCCTACCTTCGTGCCTGGTCTGTCAAGACCAGGCAGTTTACACAAAAACACTTGATATTGACTATGAAACAAGATCCAGAAGAGAACAAATATAAATACAGATGGATCAGCTAAATGAAGGACTGCCGAGTAAAAACACAAAGAGGATGTTTGTGAGTGGAGGGGGATGGATCTCCTTCTCCACCCAGCAGTGAATATCATGGGAATCTCTCTCTACCTGAATCTACCTCTTATAATTCTTAAATTAAGAACCATTAGAACTCTTCTAAGCTTTCTAAATACTCATTACAGTATGAAACCCTGCCCACCTCCCAGACAACTTCCTATGGACATTCGATTTTTTAAACATAGGATATGTTAAGTGATGGTCTTCATTCCTCGATGTCACATTTTAAATTTGTATTACTTTTTCTTCATTTTCCAAAGCTCCAGCTCAGCATCTTTGTATGCCTCTCATATATATATATATATATATTTTTTTTTAAAGTCTCAGTAGCCTTTTTAATGTGTCGATTTCTACACCCCAGCCTCAGGTAGTATAAGCTTCATGAGGACAGGAACCAGCCCTGCCTGCTCACACTGTCACCAGCATGTTCACAGGGCCGACACATGCCAGGCACTCAGGTATTAGTTGAATAGGTAAATGGAAGACTGGAAAATGTAGGCTGAACTGAGAACTTGTGGATAGACACACCTCAGTGATTTGTGAAAAGGAAGATTGGTCCAAAGCAATGTTTGTTAACCAAATTTTCATTATCAAAGAGGAAAAACTAAACATTCCCTAACAGAAATGAAAAAGGAATAAAATTTTTGTTAGATGATGTTGAGCTTTGAAATGCCACCAAGGACACTTTCAATATCAAATCTTCTCATCCACCCAACTCCAGAAAACTAGTTTTTGCTCAGGTACTGGCTCAGTGGAAAATGTGTGGTCTGAAGCTGTAGTCTCCTAGTTTGTGAGTCTCCTTATTTTCACTGCCTGAAGGTTTGAGTCACCGTGGAAGGGGAGGAGGGGTGGTGGAGATCAGAAGTGAGGTCTGTGAACTCTGGAGTTGACTTAGGTGCAGAGAGGATGAGGTAGAACTGCTGGCAGGGAGGCCCCATCTGATCCAAGAGTGAGCTCGGCAGGCAGAAAGCACTTGGCAAAGCCCAGGGAATGGTTGGGAGAGACTGATAGACCCAGCACTCCTATTCCTTGAGGCCGGTCAGTGATGTGTATTAACCTAGGGTGGCTCTAACTTTAATGTGTCAGTGAAAGGGATCCGGCTACAACTCCACACTCCTGAGGTGGGGCCCAGTGGAATGCATTTCTGTCAAAAATACTGTGAGGGAGCGCCAGGCTGCTCCTTCCACAGGCCATACTTTGAGAAGCATGGCATTAACTCACCTGTGCATGTTATATTTGTTAAAGGGTAACTTTTCAAAAACAGGAAAAACTATCACTCATATAGATATAAATGTTAAATATTTTATTAATGAAGTGAGCAGTGAGATGTTACAACCAGTTCAAAAGGGAACCCAAAGGGACGGACACATCTATTACTCAGAATATTGAAATAAACTGGAAATTGATGCATAAGTGGCTTTGCCACATGGAGAAGGATTGGCTTTCCAAGGCAGGTTGATTTGCATATTTATAAACAAGAATCATTTGCATTATCAGTTCTTTTCAACTTCACATACCATAAAACAGGTGAAAGGCTAGACTAGAAAACCTTAAAGGCGCTGGGTGCAGTGGCTCACTCCTGTTATCCCAGCACTTTGGGAGGTTGAGGTAGACAGATCTCTTGACCCCAGGAGTTCAAGACCAGCCTGAGCAACATAGACCCTCTCTCTACAAAAAAAGTTTCCAAAAATTAGCTGAGCATGATGGCATGAGCCTGTAGTCCCAGCTACTCAGGAGGCTGAGGTGGGAGAATCCCTTGAGCCAGGGAAGTGGAGGTTGCTGTGAGCCAGGATCATACCCTTGCATTCCAGTCTGGGTGATGGAGGGAGATCCTATCTCAAAAGTCTGAAGGAGTGTGATCTAAACAATGTAGTGTTTCCACTGAAGCACAGATGTTTTCCCTGTGATTTGTAGTGATTGGCATTTTTAAACTGCAGATTGCTGTCTATATTAACTTGACAGTTTGTAATAACTGCTTGAGATTAGCAGTTTGTCTTTCTTCAGTTAATTGTCATATTTAGCTCCTCTGTGTAATATGAGAAAGTAATGAGAATTTTTTTTTCTTTTTAGACGGAGTCTTGCTCTGTCACCAGGCTAGAGTGCAGTAGTGGTGCAATCTCAGCTCACTGCAACCTCTGCCTCCTGGCTTCAAGTTATTCTCCTGCCTCAGCCTCCCAAGTAGCTGGGACTACAGGTGCATGCCACCATGCCCAGCTAATTTTTGCATTTTTGGTAGAGATGGGTTTTACCATGTTGGCCAGGATGGTCTCGATCTCTTGACCTTGTGATCTGCCTGCCTTGGCCTCCCAAAGTGCTGGGATTACAGGCATGAGCCACCACACCCAGACATGAGAGCTCTTAAATAGAATTTCCATCTATAAAAAGTAGGTACTGTCAGTATTCCCCTCACATAGGTTTATGAAGAAGTCATTTTAAAAAGAGAACCCCTGTAATTGATCAAGGACCCCATCTGCCTTCTCTGTGGGCCTAGGATAAATTCTTTTGATTGTTTATGTCTATTTGGTGTAAAAAGATCTGTAGTTAAAATATACCATTGCATTATCCATAATAGCCAAAAGGTGGAAGCAAGCCAAGAGTCTATCTGCAAATGAATAAAAAAATATGGTATATATACACTATATGCAGTAGAATACTATTCAGGCTTACAGAGAAAGGCAATTCTGACACATGCTACACCATGGATGAACATGGAAGACATTATGCCACATGAAATAAACCAGTCACCAAAGAACAAGTATTTTATGTGATCAGCTTCTTGATAATCTCCAAAATAGCCACCTTAGCATATTGAATGTTTGAAGCTGAAGGAAACTCAGAAATGATAGGAAGGACACTCTGACCTTCTCACCCTCTTCTCTGATGCAGGTCACAAGGCCCTTGGGTGAGAGGTGCCGTCCCTGTCCCTGGAGGAAGGAGCATCTTTGTCTCTTAAGATAACGCTGAGAGGAATCTGAATGATAGTTCCTGCTGTTCCTCCCAGTTTACTACACTTAGCTCCTAACCCTTTTTGTCCTCTCGCAATTTTCTGCTTCTCTCCACTCTTTATCAAACTGTTAAAAATTATGGGAGGTCATTCTTTTGGGCTGAGCCCCTGCACTAGCCTTCAACAGATCAGACCAAACCAAAATGGAATTACTTATGCTAAATGCTGTGTCATCAAACTGAAACTTTAAGGAAGCAGATCCCCAAACAGACCAGTTTTTCCTGAAAACATGAGATTCCAGTCTACTTAAATCAGTGGAAGAAGGAAGTGCCCTCTGCTTTAACCATTAAAAAAAGTAACTGAAGTAGCTTGATGTTAACCAATCAGGTTTTTCTATTCTGTTTCCTTGTTGCTACCTCATAAAACCTGTGGTTCTGCTATTGCCCAGTGGGAACTCTCATTCTGTTTTGTAGAGTGGAAGGTGCCCAGATTCATGAATCATGAATAAAAGCCAATTAAATCTATAAATTTGTTGTAGTCCTCTGATAATATAAAACCTAATTTGTTGTAATTTAGTCTTTTGACAAACCTAATATACAAAGACATATGTTTAACTGTTTCTTCAGGTCTTTATTTCCTTACAAAGGCTCCTAGTTATATCAAGTTACTTCCAGAAAAGTCAATTTTTTCTGTGTCATATAAAACTTATGTTAAGTAAATGTGTATGCTTTTCTCTTGTTAATCTGTCTTTTGTTAAAAGATCCCCAGCCAAGAAATTAGAAGGGTGGAGGAAAAATATTTTTCCTCCCTTATATATGATTCCACTTATATGAGATATCTAGATCAGTAAAATTCATAGAAACAAAGTAGGATAGTCAGGCTCAGTGGCTCATTCCTGTAATCCCAACATCTTGGAAGGATAAGGCAGGAGGATCACTTCAGCCCAAGAGTTCAAGACCAGGCTAGACAACATAGGGAGACCTCATCTCTACTTTAAAAAGAAAAGTCAGGTGTGGTGGAACATACCTGTAGTCCCAACTACTGGGGAGGCTGAGGTGGGTTGGATCACTCGAATCTGGGAGTTCAAGCTTTCAGTGAACTATGATCATGCCACTGTACTCCAACCTGGGCGACAGAGAGACCCTGTCAGAAAAAAGAAAAAAAAAAAGGTAGTTTGGTGGTTGCCAGAGGCTGGGGTAGAGAGGCATGAGGGCTTATTGCTTACTGGGTACAGAGTTTCACTCGGGATGATGAAAATGTTCTGGAGATGGATGGTGGTGATGGTTGTACAACAACATGAATGCACTTAATGCCAATAACTGCACACTTAAGACTGGTTAAAATCGGGCTGGGCACGGTGGCTCACACCTGTAATCCCAGCACTTTGGGAGGCTGAGGCAGGAGAATCCTTGAACCTGGGAGGCAGAGTTTGCAGTGAGCCGAGATCGCGCCACTACTGCACTCCAGTCTGGTGACAGAGCAAGCCTCCATCTCAAAAAAAAAAATATATATATATATATATATATATATATATACTTTACTATGATAAAGACATTTTATAAACACCATTTACCATTTGATCACCTATTAAGCTAAAGGCTGCACATACATTTCACTAATCCTTAGAACAACTTTGTTCAGTAAAAATTATTCCTGGTTTACAGAGGAGAAAACTGAGGCTCAGAAAGGCTACTCATTTATTTGAAGTCTCACAGCCTTCATAATGTTATTCATGCACTCTTTATGCCCTAGATAGTTGGAGAAATTACAGGGGAGAATCTCAGAAATAACTAAAATAATTGAAGATGTAATCAAGAAACAAAAGTACAGTGTTTGAATAGAGACCAACTAAAGACAGCTGGGACTGGTTCAGTCTGCCTATAATTGAAAGGTAAATCACTAGGAAAGGGAAGGAGTCTCTGGGTTTCAAGATGAAATAGAAGTCATGAGAATTCTATAAATTTCAATTCAAGTTCACTGAAGAGAGCTAGGAGTCAGCTACTGTTTGCTGCAGATAATATTCAGTAAGGAGCTAACTGCTAATGCACTGGCCTGGGGAAGTGTTTAGTGTCAAATAGAAACCAACACTAGTAAAATACTTCCAGGAGGTAAGAATTTTTTTTTTCTTTTGAGACAGGGTCTTGCTCTGTCCCACAGGCTGGAATGCAGTGGCATGATCTTGGCTCACTGCAACCTCCACTTCCTGGGTTCAAGCAATTCTCCTGCCTCAGCCTCCCTAGTAGCTGGGATTACAGGCACACACCACGAAACCCGGCTGATTTTTGTATTTTTAGTAGAGTCGGGGTTTCACCATGCTTGCCAGGCTGGTCTTGAACTCTCGACCTCAGGTGTTCCTCCCCCCTTGCCCTCTCAAAATACTGGGATTACAGGTGTGAGCCACTGCCCCTGGCTGCTGCTCCTTTTTTTGTAATGGACATGGGAGTTCTTTAGGAATGAGGGAAATGATCGTTTCTTTGAATAAGGCAGAATACTAAAGACTAGCCAGCCCTCAGGCTCATGGTGGTTGCTGCTATTCTGTTGAACGTGAACCATAGCCTTTAGAAAGGAGCAAGTCTTTGTGGAAGACACAGGATTTGAAGTGCAACAAAGGGGTGGAAACCCAGCTGACCATGATACCTTCAAGTGAGTTTTTCCACTGAATTTGATTATTTTCTCATTTGGCACTTCTTTCTGGGTTTTTTAAGCAGCCCAAAAACTCTAGGATATTTTACTTTTGTAATTGTATTCTCTTGGGAATGCTCATTCCTGATTCCTCATTTCACCAAATAAGTGTGTAACCTTCTTGTTTCTGCCCATAATAATTCTGGAGTCTTTAAACAAAACGACTGTGACTTTTCATGATGAGTAGAAGATAGGTTTTACTCATGCTACAATCAATATTAATTCCTTACAGTTCAAAGACACTGAGGCCCTGTCTAATAATATAGAAGTTGAACTTGGACTTGGGAGATGACTCCTGCCTCTCGTACTCTCTGTGGCTCTGCTTTCTATTATTTTACTCATAAGCTTGTTTTGTCTCCTTGCTGAGAATTGTCAAACATGAAATGTAATTTCAGGTTATAGTGAAGAAAGATGACATAGGCAGAAGAAATTGGCAATCATTTGGCCTGTACATCTTGCTTTTTGTTTTTTTTCTGGATTTAAGATATAGACCACACCTTGACATTTCTGGCCTTTGAGTCTTTCACAACTGTTATTATAATGCATTAGCTCTTCTAGAAGTTAGAAGTGACTTTGGATTAAGTCTTTCATAAGGTGGCTAAATGAATTTATATGGCTCATCACAATTCACTAGATTGGTTAAGCAGGAAATTTACAGAGATTTTTTTCTTTGCTGTAAATGTTTTTCTAAATTGAAAAACTTCTAATACTGTCTTCTGGAGTAGTCCTAGAAATAAGTGCAAGTGATTGTTTTTGGCAGGAGGCCACATAAACATTTCTGCTTCTCTGTGCCTTATGGGTAGCATTGATATAAATTGTTAAAAATAATGATTGTAGATAGATAATGTGTCAGAGTTTGGGCTCAGCCGCGGTAGCTGCTGTTGACCCAGAGGGACCACTGGGATCCTCACATCTCAGGGCAGCACATCGTTTGCAGCAATGGTTGCTTCTATGCAACCTTTTATGAAATTAGGTGAGGCCCTTGCTTAGAATTTTTTAAAAGCTTAATATGAGTTTATATCTCTTTAAATATCAGTTTCTAATGTTTTTTTAAAGGCCTATGTTTACAACAAATTTGAGAGATACCTAGATGCACTACTAACTAGTGTTCTTTTGTGGTGCTTTAGAAATTCTGGCTTACTTGTATTTTTGCTGGCCTTCTAATGATTTCACTCATCAATCAGAAGATATTTGTGTCCACCTCCCTGTTTCCTCTCCGGTGATCTTGTCTATTCTTGGCCATTTTAGAGTTGACTTAGCAGCCTTCACAAAACTGATTGGAATTTCCACTGGGATTAAATTGATAGGTCATTTTTGGGAGACCTTTGCAATATTGAACTTTCCAATCCGTGAACTTTACTTATCTGCCCATTTATTATGTTTGTTTTTGGTAGATTACAAAATTATATGATCACTCCAAAAATTACCTTGCCCTTTATAGTAAAACCTTCCATTGTAAACTTCTGGCAATCACTGATCTGTGTTCCTCTAGCATTGCTTTTTTTTCAGAATTTTATACAAATGGAATCGTTCAGGATGTAGCCTTTTGAGTCTGGCTACTTTCATGTACTGCATCAACAGTTATTCCTTTTTATTGCCAAATAGTAATCCATTGTATAAATACTACATGGTTTGCTTATTGGTTTGTCATTGGAGGAATATGGACTATTTTCACTTTTTGGTAAATTATAAGTGGATTGGAATTCACAAAGTGCTTTTTGTCTGAGCATAGGTTTTCATTTCACTTGTGCAAATGCCTAAGGGTAGGATTGCCGAGTCACATGGTCCGTGTACGTTTGACTTTATCAGAACCTGCCAAATTGTCTTCCAAAGTGCTGTGCCACTTCTGTTTCTTTAATAAATACAGGGGTATTCAAGCTGTCTGTTTCTTCTTGAGTTTTGGTAGTCTGTCTTTCAAGGAATTGATCTATTTCACCTAATTTGTAGAATTTAGAAGCATATAGTTGTTTGTTTTGTTTTTGTAGTATCCATTATAGCCTTCTAGTGTCTACAGGATTTGTAATAATATTCCTTTCATTTCTGGTATTGGCAATTTGTGTTTTCTCTTCTTCCTTTGTCAGTCTGCTAGAGGCTTCCTCATTTGATTGATTTCCACCTCCCACCACCCCTGCAAAGAACCAACTTTGGATTTCGTTGAATTTTTTTCCTTTACTGTTTTTGTTTAAATATTACTGATTTAGTCTGTTTTTCTTATGCCTGATTTGAGTTTATTTGGTTCTTTTTTTACTTAAAGTAAATGCTTACATTATTGATTTGATGCTTCATTTCTCATAATTTAGTGCTATAAATTGCCCTGTAAGCACATATTTTGATAAGATGATGTCATATTTATTAAGTTCAAACTGTTTTCCAATTTGTCTTAAGATACTCTCTTTGACCTATGGGCCATTTAGAAGTACACCATTTAACTTCTCATATTTGGGAATGTTCTAGAAATGTTCTAGATTCCTAGTTTAATTCTGTCATCAGAGAAAATAATTCACTGAATTTTAATTGTTTAACTTCAGGGTTTGTTTTATGACTCAGAATATGATCTCTCACCACCGCCATCCAGATAATTCTTCAGGTTTTGACGTTTCCCAACCTGTCTGCTGGTTACTTTTCAGAGTTCTTAGGTCATTGCTATTTATATTTTGTCCAGAGTTTCAAATTGTGATCAGTGGAAATGACAGGCCATAGCATGCATACGCCATCCTGGCCAGCATCACAGGTGGTCAGTATATCTTTCTGTTGTTGTTTTGAGACAGGGTCTCACTCTGTTGCCCAGGCTGGAGCACAGTGGCATGATCAGGGATCACTGCATTCTCAACCTGCTAGGCTCAAGTGATCCTCCCACCTCAGCCTCCCGAATAGCTGGGTCTATAGGTGTGCTGCCATGCCCAGCTAATTTTTGTATTTTTTATAAAGACGGGATTTTGCCTTGTTGCCCAGGCTGGTCTCAAACTCCTGAGCTCAGGCCATCCTCTCACTCGGGCCTCCCAAACTACTAGGATTATAGGTATGACCACCACACCTGGCTAGTACATCTTAAAAATAATTTCTGATCCACGTTGAATAATGATGGCCTGCAAATATTTTTTCTTGCCCTTGCCTTATTGGGTTTTGATATCAAGGTTATTTTTATTTTAACCTTGTAAAATGAACTGGGGAGTCTTCTTTCTGTATTCTCTGTTTGTGTTAGTGGAAGAGTTTTTTTTTGTTTGTTTGGTTGGTTTGTTTCTCTTGTATGTTTCATGGAACTTTTTGGTGAAGGCACTTGGGCCTACAAATTTCTTTATGGGAAGATTTTCATGACTGATTCAATATATTTAATCTATGTAAGTTTTTTTTCTACTTTTGGAGTGAATTTTGATTTTTTTCCCTAGAAATTCATATCTCACCAAGTATGGTGGCTTATGCTTGTAATCCCAGCACTTTGGGAGGCTCAGGTGGGAGGACCACTTGACTACAGTAGTTCAAGACCAGCCTGGGCAATATAGTGAGACTCCATCTCTACAAAAAAAATAAAAATTAGCTTGGTGTGGTGGCGGGTGCCTGTAGTGTGAGCTACTTGGGATGCTGAGGTGGGAGGATCATTTGAGCCTGGAAGGTCGAGACTGCAGTGAGCTGTGATTGTGCCACTGCACTCCAGCCTGGGTGACAGAATGAGACGTTGTCTAAAAAAAAAAAAAAGATTTTTCATCTATGCTTTAAAGTCTGTTGGCATAAAGGTATTCATAATTTTACATTATGAAATTGTTTATTTGAGACAGGGTCTCACTCTGTTGCCCAGGCTGGAGTACAGTGGTTCAATAATGGCTCAGTGCAGCCTCCACCTCCCAGGCTCAAGCCACCATCTCTCTTCAGCCTCCCAAGTAGCTGGGACCACAGGCACGTGCCACCATGCCCAGCTAATTTTTGTATTTTTGGTAGAGACGGGGTTTTGCCATGTTGCCCAGCCTGGTCTCAAACTCCTGAACTTGAGCATTCCTCCCACTTCAGTCTCCCAAAGTGCTGGGATTACAGGTGTGAGCCATCGTTCTTGGCCTGCAAGTTATGACTTCCTTTCAGAGTCTTTCTATCTGTAGTACAGTCCTCCTGTGCAAGATTGTTGTTTGACTGCTTTTTCTTGACAAATCTTGCTAAAGGTCTGTGAATTTTATAATGTATTTTTAAAGAACCAGATTTTAGCAGGGCATGGTGGCTCATACCTGTAATCCCAGCACTTTGAGAGGAAAAGGTGGGAAGATCGCTTGAGCCTGTAAGGGGGAGGCTGTACTAAGCTGTGATTAAGCCACTACACTCCAGCCTGGGCAACAGAATGAGACCCTATCTGAAAACCAAAAGAACCACAAGTTTTAGCTTGGCTGATTCTATTGTGTGTTTCTTTTGTATTTCATTTGTTTGTTATGTTTTTCCTTTTTCTTTCTTTGAATTTAACTTGTTCTTTGTCTGATTTGTTGACTGATGCTCAGGTTTTTTTTTTTTTTTTTTTTTTTTTTGAGACGTAGTCTCACTCTTTCACCAGGCTGGAGTGCAGTGGCACAATCTCGGCTCAAGCAATTCTCCTGCCTCAGCCTCCCGAGTAGCTGGGACTACAGGTGTGTGCCACCACACCCAGCTAATTTTTGTATTTTTAGTAGAGATGGGGTTTTACCATGTTGGGCAGGATTGTCTCGATCACTTGACCTCATGATCCACCTGCCTCGGCCTCCCAAAGTGCTGGGATTACATGCTTGAGCCACTGTGCCCGGTCTGTTGATGTTTTTCCCAAGTTCCTTTTCTAATGTTCTCATTTAAGACTATAAATTTCCCCAGCCTGGACAACATGGTGAAACTTTATCTCTACCAAACACACAAAAAATTAGCCAGGTGTAGTGGTGTGAGCCTGTGGTCCCAGCTACTCAGGAGGCTGAGGTGGGAGGCTCACTTGAGCCCAGGAGGTGGAGGGTAGTAAGCCAAGATTGTGCTACTGCACTCTAGCCGGGGTGACAGAGTGAGACCCCATCTCAAAAAAAAAAAAAAAAAAGACTATCATTTTCCCCTTATGAATGGATTTAATTATATCCTACAGTTTTAAATATGTAGAATTGATGATGAATTTGCCTTATTTTATCTTCAAGCTATGGGCTATTTAAAAGTATACTTTTAGAAAGTTTCTAAAATTGTTACCAGAAATTATGATCTCTCCACTTTCTTTGAAATTTTTTACTTGTTTTAACACTCGTCTATATGGTTAATTTTTGAACGTGTCCACAGTTTCTTGAAGGGAAGTCTATTTCTGCAGTTAAATCTCATGTTCTGTATGTGTGCATTTAGTCTATTTTTTCATAATTTTAAATCTTCATCCTCCCTAATTATTTTTATACTTTATTTACTGAGAGATATATTAAATATCCTACTAGAAGCATGGATTTGTCTGTCTCCTCATCTGTCAACTTTTGCTTTTTGAGGCTGTACTTGGGTGCATATGATTCAAAAAATATACATCTTTTTTTTAATTTGAACTTTTATCAAAATGAAATGTTTTCCTTCATTTATGTATGCTTTCAACATTATGTATGATATAGCTATGGTAACTTTGGTTAAACTTTGCACTGTGTATCTTTCACGTGTGTGTGTGTGTGTGTGTGTATTTTTTTTTCCACTGTGCTGCCAAGGCTATAGTGCAGGGGCTGTTCACAGGCGTGACTGTGGCTCTCTGCTGCCTTAAACTCCTGGGCTCAAATGATCCTCCTACCTCAGTCTTTAGAGTGATGTGTGCCACCACTGCCAAATAATTGTTTTTATTTCTTTAGAGATAGAATTTGGCTATATTGCCCAGGCTGGTCTTGAGCTCTTGGTCTCAAGTGATCCTCTCACCTCTGCTTCCTGAGTCACTGGGATTACAGGCATGTGCCGCCAAGTCCAGCTCCTCTGATACATATTTTAATACCTTTTAAAATCATTCTATATCTTTGTATTTTAAATATGACTTATAAATAGCATGGAATGGGATTTTAACAATTTATCCATCTTTAATTGGATTACTTAGTCCATTTGCATGTATTTGTATTCTGACATACTTGGATTCTGTATAGATGGTGAGTGGTGTGTATGTACATGCATGTGTGTTTGTGTCATTTTGTCACTTTCTATTTATCCTACTTATGTTTCTTTTTTCCTTTCTTGCCTTCTTTTCAATTGGTGGGATTTTTTTCTTCTCTAGTCATTTTAAGTTAGTCTTTGTTTATATTCTTTTAGTAACTGTCATGCTAATTTAAATGTGCATATTTAAGTTATGAAAGTTGAAAATTTATCCTCCTCCTGGGTGATAGGATAACTTAAGAATACTTTCATTGCATTAAACTCCTCTTGAGTTATGCTACAACAGTATATTTTCAACTTTTTGTTTTGACATAATTGCAGATTCACAGGTGCTTTTAAGAAATAATATAAAGAAATCCAATATAGTCTTCACTCAGTTTCTCCCAATGGTAACGTCTTGCATAACTACCTTGTTCAGATTTCACCAGTTTTATGTGCACTTTTAGGTTTTTTTGTGTATTTAGTGCTATGAAATTTTATCGTGTACATAGATTAGATACCTAATCACCATCACCATCGTCAAGATATAGAAGAGTTCCATCAGAAGGATGGATCCCTTGTGCTACCCATTTTATAGTCACAAACACGTTCCTCACTCCCTGACCCCTGGCAACCACTAATGGGTTTTTCATCTCTGTAACTTTATTTCAAGAACACATGTAAATGAATCCATACAATGTCTAATATTTTGAGATTGAGTTTTTTTATTCAGCATAATTATCTTGTGACCCATCAAAGTTGTTTTGATATATTTTATCATTTTTCTTTTTATATTTCATGGGACATTACTTCTATTGTTTTATACATTTCACATTTGTTTAGTTTTATCCATATATTCACCTGTCTTTTTCCTGCTCTTCATTTCTTCTTATATCCCAGATCTTCCACTTGGGATCATTTTCCTCCTGTCTGAAATCTTTTAGTATCTGTTTAGTAATGATTTCCTTGGGCGAGCTCCCTCAATTTCTGCACATTTCAAGCTCTATTATGTTAGTCTCGTACTTAATTTTTTTTATTGTGGTATGAGAGGCATACAGGTAAGGAGATCATGAACGTACAACTCAAAATTTTCACATAGTTAACACCTAAGAAATGGATATGACCAGCAACCCAGAAGTCTCTCTTCTGTTTTCTTTTAGTTGCTGCTCTTACCTCCTCCCAAGACAGGGTGATCTGCCTGCCTTGGCCTCCCAAAGTGCTGGGATTACAGGCATGAGCCACCGCGCCTGGCCTAAAATGACCATCTTGTCTTTTGAGACAGAGTCTTGCTCTGTCACCCCAGCTGGAGTGCAGTGGCATGATCATGGCTCACTGCAGCCTCAATCTCCCTGGCTCAAGCGATCCTCCCACCTTAACCTCCTGAGTAGCTGGGACAGGAGGCACACATGCCACACCCAGCTCAATCTACTGGGCTCAAGCAAAAAGTATCTCCTATTCTGACTTTTTACACTATAGATTAGTTTTCCTATTATTCGCTTTATAAATGGGATCTTTTCTTTTGGCTGCTTTTCTCAGCTTTAGGCTTGTGAGCTCTATCCATGGTGTTGCACATGGCAGTGGTTTGTTTATTGTTGTGTGCATTCAGCTTTACTAATATTGCACAATATGTTTATCTGTTCTGCTGTTGGCTGACATTCAGGTTCTTCCAAGCTTGGGTCCATTATGAGTAATGCCATTATTAACTAACTTTCTTTCTTTCTTTCTTTCTTTCTTTCTTTCTTTCTTTCTTTCTTTCTTTCTTTCTTTCTTTCCTTCCTTCTTTCCTTCTTTCCTTCTTTCCTTCTTTCCTTCTTTCTTTCTTTTCTTTCTTTCTTTCTTTCTTTTCTTTCTTTCTTTTCTTTCTTTTCTTTCCTTTCTTTCTTTCTTTCTTTCTTTCTTTCTTTCTTTCTTTCTTTCTTTCTTTCTTTCTTTTTGGAGATGGAGTCTTGCTCTTGTCACCCAGGCTGGAGTGCAATGGCACAATCTCAGCTCACTGCAACCTCCACCTCCTGGGTTCAAGCAATTCTCCCTGCCTCGGCCTCCCAAGAAGCTGGGATTACAGGTGCCCACCACCACGCCTGGCTAATTTTTTTTTAGTAGAGACGGGGTTTTACCATGTTGGTCGGGCTGGTCTCGAACTCCTGACCTCAGGTGATCTGCCTGCCTCGGCCTCCCAAAGTGCTGGAATTGCAGGCATGAGCCACTGTTCCCGGCCCTGAACTTTCTTGTCCTTACCTTTTGGTGCACACCTGTGTACTTTAATTTGATCTCTGTCTGGGAGTGCAAGTGCTTTATAGAGCATGTGTACAGTTTTAGGAGATACTGCTAAAAATTTTGCAGTGGCTGTATCAGTTTACAATCTGCCAGCTGTTGATGAAGGTTCCAGTTGTTTCCCATCCTTCTGTTATAGGAAAGGTGTCCTGATCTAGACTCCAAGAGAGGGTTATTGGATCTGGTGCAAGAAAGAATTCAGGGCGAGTCCATAGAGTAAAGTGATAGCAAGTTTATTAAGAAAGTAGAAGAATAAAAGAATGGCTACTCTATAGACAGAGCAGCCCGAGGGCTGCTGGTTACCCATTCTTATGGTTATTTCTAGATAATATGTTAAACAAGGGGTGGATTATTTATGCCTCCTTTTTTTTTTTAAGACCATGTAGGGTAAATTTCTGATATTGCCATGGCATCTGTAAACTGTGGTGGCGCTAGTGGGAATGTAGCAGTGGGAGGACGACCAGAGGTCTACAGGTATTTTTGGTAATCATCTTGAGAAATAAAGACTTCATAAATCATCTTACAGTTATGATAATATATAACAACCATATTTCAACTGAATGCAAAGTTGTACCTTTTCATACCCCCACTGTGTTATTAATATCACATATTATCTTTTCTTATTGAGTAACTATGAACACACATTTATGCAGATTTATGCTTCATTTTTTAAACTCCATAGCAATATTTTGAAAATTTTGTGCACCATCATTATGACAATAGAGATTTCTATACCTGTTTATATATTTACCTTTAATATAGCACTTTCTATTTTCATATGCTGTTATGATGCTGTGCAGCATCATTTCATTTTTGTACTTGATAGACTTTCTTTTACATTTCCTTTACGACTGATCTAGTGGTTAGTAACACACTCAACTTTTATTTATTCTGGAAAGGCTTATTTTTTTTTTTTTATTTCTGAAGTGAAATTATTCCAGTTGAAGGTTTTTGTTTGGCAGTATATCTTCTTGTTTAATTACCTTGTCATCTGGGGATTTCTCAGCTACTTTTTAAAAATAATCTCTTTATTACTTTTCTGCTGTATTTTTTTTCTAAGACTCCATTTATAAATACAATGGTCTACTTGATGGTGTGCAGTACGTCCCATATTTTTTTCTCTATTCTGTTTAAATAATTTGTTTTCATGACTCAGTATTTATAACTACAGTATCATCAACTAGTTATTGTGTTGTTCAGATTCACAGTTTTTGTTGGTTTTTAAAAATCTTTTTATTGATATCTCATTTTCTTTATGTATCACTTCTAATATTATTTTGTTGTCTATGCTCTGTTTTTGTTAATTACGTAGTTTTTTTCTAATTACATTTTATTGAAAACTGCACTGAATGCTAAATGTCCATCTTTACAATAAACAACTACAGTAACGTTAACTCGCACTAAAACAAAGGATACTTCTGATAGCCATTATTTTTCTGTTTGTGACAATTTTAAAGTTTTTCTTTTGTCACAAAAACAGGAAGGTACCTAACCAAACGATCAAAATAGGCCATTTTTTAAACAAAAAGGCAATGATTCACAAAAGACTATGAACAGAACATGTAACTAATCGATGCAAATCAAATAGGATTTGTTAAAATCAGTCACATCCAATACATCTGAAGTGTTCTTGTATAAAATACAACGTGAAGAAAAGAAGACTTTATCAGTGTCTTAAAAAGTGGATTTGTTCATAGACAATCTGACAAGTTACCACTAAAAGTGTTTCTTGTGACAGAAAAAGCAACATTATTTTTCTTGAGTCTTTTTAGTGCAAGACTTTCCACTCAATAAAATAGCAGAGCATCTGAAACTGAGAAAATATTTTTGATTACAAACAGCTTGTGAAACTTAATACTGTTTTTTTTTTTTTTGCATTATCGGAGGCTTTTTCTGAACTTACAACCAACTTGCCCACTCAGCATGCAGTTCAGATGTGAGAGACGCTTCTCTGTACAGGAGCCGGTACTGTCTTCAATCCTATGCGTGCAGGTGTCTACCACAGGCAAATAGTTTACTCCACATTTTCTAATAATGTGATCTTCCTATTAGCAAAAAGCTGTAACCAGTCCCTGTAGACTGAAGGGACTCAAGTGACAAGATGGGGATTTCCTCCTCATGGTTTTTATTTTGATGTTTGAAGTCCTGATGCAACATTCTGAGCAGGGTGTTCCTGACCTGCTGTGCCCAAGGGACTGATAAAGGAAAAAGTTCTATTTATTCTTTGTGATTTGACGCACAGATGAAAAACTTAACACACAATAACGGAAGCTGGTCGTTAATAAATCACACCCTAGTCTTTCAGAGCTTCCGTAAACAGACAACATCTTCAACTTTCTAACGCTTGTAGTTTTAACACTGCAACATCAATAATGCATATGTCCAGAATCAGCTAAAAAGAGCGTCAGATTCTTTTTCTCTTAGTTCATCTATTTTTCACTGTCCTTGTTCCCAAGTGTATCAAAATGATTACCTTCCGGCATTCACTACTATTTCTCGTTGGGTTGCTCTCGATTGTCCCCGTGATTGTGGGCTGGTTGGGAGAGGGCGCTTGGGAAGTATGTGCCACTGTCGGGAGGTTGTGAGTCACTGGGATGCCTCCAGGGATGATCCCTTCCATGGACGCAGGAAGTCCTCCTGGAGCCACGCCCACGATGACTGGATGAATTGCTTGCTGGTCTATTACTGACCAAAGCACAGATGTGACAAAGAATTCCTTGTTCACACAGTTTCTTTTTTTTTATTTTTATTATTATTATACTTTAAGTTTTAGGGTACATGTGTACAACGTGAAGGTTTGTTACATATGTATACATGTGCCATGTTGGTGTGTTGCTCCCATTAACTCGTCATTTAGCATTAGGCATATCTCCTAATGCTATCCCTCCCCTCTCCCCCCACCCCACAACAGTCTCCGGTGTGTGATGTTCCCCTTCCTGTGTCCATGTTTCTCATTGTTCAATTCCCACCTATGAGTGAGAACATGCAGTGTTTGTTTTTTTGTCCTTGCGATAGTTTGCTGAGAATGAGGGTTTCCATCTTCATCCATGTCCCTACAAAGGACAGGAACGCATCCTTTTTTATCGCCACATAGTATTCCATGGTGTATTTGTGCCACATTTTCTTAATCCAGTCTATCGTCGTTGGACGTATAGGTTGGTTCCAAGTCTTTGCTATTGTGAATAGTGCAGCAATAAACATATGTGTGTATGTGTCTTTATAGCAGTATGATTTATAATCCCTTGGGTACATACCTAGTAATGGGATGGCTGGGTCAAATGGTATTTCTAGTTCTAGATCCCTAAGGAATCGCCACAGTGACTTCCACAATGGTTGAAGTAGTTTACAGTCCCAACAGTGTAAAAGTGTTCCTATTTCTCTACATCCTCCCCAGCACCTGTTGTTTCCTGACTTTTTAATGAACGCCATTGTAAATGGTGTGAGATGGTGTCTCACTGTGGTTTTGATTTGCAATTGTCTGATGGCCAGTGATGATGAGCATTTTTTCATGTGGGTTTTGGCTGCATAAATGTCGTCTTTTGAGAAGTGTCTGTTCATATCCTTGGCCCACTTTTTGATGGTGTTGGTTGTTTGTTTTTTTCTTGTAAATTTTTTTGAGTTCATTATAGATTCTGGATATTTGCCCTTTGTTAGATGAGTAGGTTGCAAAAATTTTCTCCCATTCTGTTGGTTGCCTGTTCACTCTGATGGTAGTTTCTTTTGCTGTGCAGAAGCTCTTTAGTTTAATTAGATCCCATTTGTCAATTTTGTCTTTTGCTGCCATTGCTTTTGGTGTCTTAGACATGAGGTCCTTGCCCAAGCCTATGTCCTGAATGGTATTGCCTAGGTTTTTTTTCTGTGTTTTTTATGGTTTTAGGTCTAACATTTAAGTCTTTAATCCATCTTGAATTAATTTTTGTAAAAGGTGTAAGGAAGGGATCCAGTTTCAGCTTTCTCCATATGGCTAGCCAGTTTTCCCAGCACCATTTATTAAATAGGGAATCCTTTCCCCATTGCTTGTTTTTCTCAGGTTTGTCAAAGATCAGATAGTTGTAGATATGTGGCATTATTTCTGAGGGCTGTGTTTTGTTCCATTGGTCTATATCTCTGATTTGGTACCAGCACCATGCTGTTTTGGTTACTGTAGCCTTGCAGTATAGTTTGAAGTCAGGTAGTGTGATGCCTCCAGCTTTGTTCTTTTGGCTTAGGATTGACTTGGAGATGAAGGCTATTTTTTGGTTCCATATGAACTTGAAAGTAGTTTTTTCCAATTCTGTGAAGAAAGTCATTGGTAGCTTGATGGGGATGGCATTGAATCTATAAATTACCTTGGGCAGTTTGGCCATTTTCACAATATTGGTTCTTCCTACCCATGAGCATGGAATGTTATTCCATTTGTTTGTATCCTCTTGTATTTCATTGAGCAGTGGTTTGTAGTTCTCCTTGAAGAAGTCCTTCACATCCCTTGTAAGTTGGATTTCTAGGTATTTTACTCTCTTTGAAGGAATTGTGAATGAGAGTTCACTCATGATTTGGCTCTCTGTTTGTCTGTTATTGGTGTATAAGAATGCTTGTGATTTTTGCACATTGATTTTGTATCCTGAGACTTAGCTGAAGTTGCTTATCAGCTTGAGAAGATATTGGGCTGAGACAGTGGGGTTTTCTAGATATACAATCATGTCATCTGCAAACAGGGACAATTTGACTTCCTCTTTTCCTAATTGAATACTCTTTACTTCCTTCTCCTGCCTAATTGCCCTGGCCAGAACTTCCAACACTATGTTGAATAGGAGTGGTGAGAGAGGGCAACCCTGTCTTGTGCCCATTTTCAAAGGGAATGCTTCCAGTTTTTTCCCATTTAGTATGATATTGGCTGTGGGTTTGTCATAGATAGCTCTTATTATTTTGAGATAGGTCACATCAATACCTAATTTATTGAGAGTTTTTAGCATGAAGTGTTGTTGAATTTCGTCAAAGGTCTTTTCTGCATCTATTGAGATAATCATGTGGTTTTTGTCATTGGTTCTGTTTATATGCTGGATTACGTTTATTGATTTGTGTATGTTGAACCAGCCTTGCATCCCAGGGATGAAGCCCACTTGATCATGGTGGATAAGCTTTTTGATGTTCTGCTGGATTGGGTTTACCAGAATTTTTAATGAGGATTTTTGCATCAATGTTCATCAAGGATATTGGTCTAAAATTCTCTTTTTAGATTGTGTCTCTGCCAGGCTTTGGTATCAGGATGATGCTGGCCTCATGAGTTAGGGAGGATTTCCTCTTTTTTCTGTTGATTAGAATAATTTCAGAAGGAATGGTACCACCTTCTCTATGTACCTCTGGTAGAATTCGGCTGTGAATCCATCTGGTCCTGGACTCTTTTTGGTTGGTAAGCTATTGATTATTGCCACAATTTCAGCTCCTGTTATTGGTCTATTCAGAGATTCTTCTTCTTCCTGGTTTTGTCTTGGGAGGATGTATGTGTCGAGGAATTTATCCATTTCTTCTAGATTTTCTAGTTTATTTGTGTAGAGGTGTTTATAGTATTTTCTGATGGTAGTTTGTATTTCTGTGGGCTCGGTGGTGATATCCTTTTTGTCATTTTTTATTGCATCTATTTGATTCTTCTCTCTTTCTTTTTTGTTAGTCTTGGTAGCAGTCTATCAATTTTGTTGATCTTTTCAAAAAAACCAATCTCTGGATTCATTAATTTTTTGAAGTGTTTTTTATGTCTCTATTCCCTTCAGTTCTGCTCTGATCTTAGTTATTCCTTGCCTTCTGCTAGCTTTTCAATGTGTTTGCTCTTGCTTTTCTAGCTCTTTTAATTGTGATGTTAGGGTGTCAATTTTAGATCTTTCCTGCTTTCTCTTGTGGGCATTTAGTGGTATAAATTTCCCTCTACACACTGCTTTGAATGTGTCCCAGAGATACTGGTATGTTGTGTCTTTGTTCTCATTGGTTTCAAAGAACATCTTTATCTCTGCCTTCATTTCATGATTTACCCAGTAGTCATTCAGGAGCAGGTTGTTCAGTTTCCATGGAGTTGAGTGGTTTTCAGTGAGTTTCTTAATCCTAAGTTCTAGTTTGATTGCACTGTGTTATGAGAGACAGTTTGTTGTAATTTCTGTTCTTTTACGTTTGCTGAGGAGTGCTTTACTTTGAACTATGTGGTCAATTTTGGAGTAGGTGTGGTGTGCTGAAAAGAATGCATATTCTGTTGATTTGGGGTGGAGAGTTCTGTAGATGTCTATTAGGTTCGCTTGGTGCATGGCTGAGTTCAATTCCTGGGTATCCTTGTTAACTTTCTGTGTTGTTGATCTGTCTAATGTTGACATTAATCTGCCCTGTAGGCAGATCCTAGACAAGAGTTGCATCACCTGTGTGATCAGTGCAGAGATATTTCACAATGCCTCCTGTAGGCAGAGGGTAGACAAGTGTTACATCAGCTAGGTGATCATTGCAGAGATATTTCACA
Organism: Homo sapiens; assembly: GCF_000001405.40. Lineage (NCBI taxonomy): Eukaryota > Metazoa > Chordata > Mammalia > Primates > Hominidae > Homo > Homo sapiens. Next base: position 56,851,502 of record NC_000024.10, on the reverse strand, counting down.
ATACCCACTGTAGGCAAATCCTAGACAAGAGTTGCCTCACCTGGGTGATCAGTGCAGACATATTTCACAATGCCCCCTGTAGGCAGAGGGTAGACAAGAGTTACATCACCTAGATGATCCGGGCAGAGATTTGTCAAAATTCCCTGTAGGTAGAGATTATAAAAGTGTTACATCACCCAGGTGATCAGTGCAGAGATATGTCATAGGCACCTGTAGGCAGAGCTTAGATGAGTTACATCACCTGGGTGATCCGTGTAAAGATATGTCACAAAGCCCACTGTAGGCAAAGCCTAGACAATAGTTACATCAGTTGGGTGATCAGTGGACAGATCTCTCACAATTCCCCTGTAGGCAGAGCTTATACAACAGTTACATCACCTGGGTGATCAGTGCAGAGATATGTCACAAAGCCCCCATAGGCAGACGCAAGACAAGAGTCCATCACCTGGGTGCTCAGGGCAGAAACACGTCACAATGTCCCCATAGGCAGAGCCTAGAAAAAAGCCACATCACCTGGATAATCAGTGCAGAGTTATGTCACAAAGTCCCTTTAGGCAGATCCTAGACAAGTGTTACATCACCTGGTTGATCAGGGCAGAGATATGTCACAATGCCACTGTAGGCAGAGCCTAGACAAGAGTTACATGACCTAGGTGATCAGTGCAGAGATACATCGCAATGCCCCTGTAGGCAGAGCCTTGACAAGTGGTATATCACCTGGGTGACCATTGCAGGGATATATCAAAAAGCACCCTGTAGGCAGATCCTAGACAAGAGTTACATCACTCGGGTGATCAGGGCAGAGATATGTCACAGTGCCATGTAGCGAGAACCTAGACAAAATTTCATCACCTGGGAGATCAGTGCAGAGATATGTCACAATATCCCCAGTAGGCAGAGCCCAGACAAGAGTTGGATCACCTCGGGATCAGTACAGAGATATGTCTCAATCCCCCTGTGGGGACAGCCTAGACAAGAGTTACATCACCTCGGTTAACAGTGCAGATATATCTCAAAATGTTCCTGTAGGCAGAGCCTACACAAGTGTTACATCACTTAGGTGATCAGTGCAGAGATATGTCACAATACCCCCTGTAGGCAGAGCCTAGACAAGAGTTACATCACCTGAGTGATCAGTGCAGAGATATGTCACAATGCCCCCTATAGGCAGAGCCTAGACAAAAGTTACATCACCTGGGTGATCAGTGCAGTGTTACATCAAAATTCCTCTGTAGGCAGAGCCTAGACAAGAGTTACATCATCTATGTGATCAGTGCAGTGATATGTCACAAAAATCCCTGTGGACAGAGCCTAGACAAGAGTTACATCACCTGAGTGATCAGTGCAGATATTTCACACAATGCCCCCATAGACAGAACCTAGACAAGAATTCCATCACCTGGGTTATCAGTGCAGAGACTATGTCACGAATCCACCTCTAGGCAGAGTATAGAAAATAGTCCCATCACCTGAGTGATCAGTGCAAAGATATGTCACAATAACCCCTGTAGGCAGAGCCCAGACAAGAGTTACATCACCTGGGTGATCAGAGCAGAGATATGTCACAATGTCCCTGTAGGCAGAGCCCAGACAAGAGTTGCATCACCTCGGTGATCAGTGCAGAGGTATGTCTCAATGCCTCCTGTAGGCAAAGCCCAGACAAGAGTTACATCATCTCGTTGATCAGTGCAGAGATATGTCAAAATGCCCCTGTGAGCAGAGCCTAGAAAAAATTTACATCACCTGGGTGATCAGTGCTCAGACAAGTCACAATGTCCATGTAAGCAGAGTCTAGACAAGTGTTACATCACCTGGGTGATCATTGCAGAGTGATGTCACAATGCCCTCTGTAGGTAGATACTAGACAAGAGTTACCTCACCTGAGAGATCAGTGCGGAGATGTGTCACAACGCACTCTGTAGGCAAACAATAGTCAAGAGTTACATCACATATGTGATCAGCGCAGATATATGTCACTATGTTCCTGTGGCCACGCATAGAAAAGAGTTACAACATCTGGGTGATCAATGCAGAGATATGTCACGATGTCTCCAGTAGGCAGAGCGTAGACATGAGTTACATCACCTCGGTGATCAGTGCAGAGATACCTCAAAATACCCCCTGTAGGCAAAGTCTAGACAAGAGTTACATCAACTGGGAGATCAGTGCAGAGATATGTCAAAAATCCCACTGTAGGCAAAGCCTAGACAAGTTTTAAATAACCTCAGTGATCAGTGCAGAGAAGTGTCCCAGGACCCATGTAGTCAGAGCTTAGACAAATGTCACATCTCCGGATTGATCATTGCAGAGATACGTCACAATGCCCCCATAGGCAGAGCCTGGACAAGAGTTACATCACCTAGTTGATCAGTGCAGAGATATGTCACAAAGTCCCCTGTAGGCAGAGCCCAGAGAAGAGTTACATCACCTGGGTGATCAGTGCAGAGATATGTCACAAAGTCCCCTGTGGCAAAGCCTAGGCAAGAGTTACATCACCTTTCTCGTCAGTTCAGAGATACATCAAAATGCCTCTGTAGGTAGAGCCTAGACAAGAGTTACATCACCTAGTTGATCAGTGCAGAGATATTTCACAATACCCCCTTTAGGCAGTTCCTAGAGAAGAGTTGCATCACCTGGGTGATCAGTGCAGAGATATATCAAAATGCCCCCTGTAGGCAGAGCCTAAACAAGAGTTACATCACCTAGGTGATCAGTGCAGAGATTTGTCAAAATTCCCTGTAGGCAGAGCTTATAAAACTGTTACATCACCTAGGTGATCAGTGCAGAGATATGTCACAAAGCCCCCTGTAGGCAGAGCCTAGACGAGAATTCCCACCCCGGGAGTGATCAGTGCAGAGATATATCACAAGGCCCCTGTAGGCAGAGCTTAGATGAGTTACATCACCTGGGTGATCAGTGAACAGATATGTCACAAAGCCCCGTGTAGGAAAAGCCAAGACAATAGTTAAATCACTTGGGCGATCAGTGGAGAGATCTCTCACAACTCACAAGTAGGCAGAGCTTATACAACAGTTACATCACCTCGGTGATCAGTGCAGAGATATGTCATAATGCCCCCATAGGCAGATGCAAGACAAGAGTCCGTCACCTGGGTGATCAGAGCAGAAATACGTCACAATGCCCCCGTAGGCAGAGCCTAGACAAAAGCCCCATCACCTGGATGATGAGGGCAGAGTTACGTCACAAAGACCCTTTAGGCAGATCCTAGACAAGAGTTAAATCAGTTGGGTGATCAGAGCAGAGATATGTCGCAATGCCACTGTAGGCAGAGCCTAGGCAAGAGTTACATGACCCAGGTGATCAGTGCAGAGATACATAACAATGCTCCTGTAGGCAGAGCCTTGACAAGTGGTACATCACCTGGGTGATAATTGCAGGCATATGTCACAAAGCACCCTGTAGGCAGATCCTAGACAAGAGTTACATAACCTGGGTGATCAGTGCAGGGATATGTCACAATGCCAGTGTAGGCAGAGTCTAGACAAGAGTTACATGACCTAGGTGATCAGTGCAGAGATACATCGCAATGCCTCTGTAGGCAGAGCCTTGACAGATGGTACATCACCTGGGTGAGCAGTGCAGAGATATGTCACAAGGTCCCTGTAGGCAGAGCCTAGACAAGAGTTATATCACCTGGGTGATAAGTGCAGTGATATGTCACAATGCCGTGTAGCCAGAGCCTAGACAAAAGTTTCATCACCTGGGAGATCAGTGCAGAGATATGTCACAATGTCCCCAGTAGGCAGAGCCCAGAAAAGAGTTGGATCACCTCGGGATCAGTGCAGAGATACGTCTCAATCCCCATGTGGGAACAGCGTAGACAAGAGTTAAATCACCTTGCTTATCAGGGCAGAGTATGTCAAAATGCCAGTGTAGGCAGAGCCTACTCAAGTGTTACATCACTTAGGTGATCAGTGCAGAGATATGTCAAAATACCCCCTGTAAGCAGAGCCTAGACAAGAGTTTCATGACCTAGGTGATCAGTGAAGAGATACACAGCAAAGCCCCTTTAGGCAGAGCCTTGACAAGTGGTATATCACCTGGGTGACCATTGTAGGGATATGTCACAAAGCACCCTGTAGGCAGATCCCAGACAAGGGTTACATCACCTGGTTGATCAGTAAAGATATATTTCAAAATGCAACTGCAGGCAGAGCGTAAGCAAGAGTCCCATCACCAGGGTGATCAGTGCGGAAATATGTTGCAATGCCCCCATAGGCAGACCCAACATAAGAGTTACATCACCTGGGTGATCAGTGTAGAGATATGTCACAATGCCCCCATAGGCAGAGCCTAGACAAAAGTCCCATCACCTGGGTGATCAGTGCAGAGATATGTCACGAAGCCCCTGTAGGCAGAGCTGAGACAAAAGTTACATCACCGGGATGATCAATACATAGTGATGTCACAAAGGACCTTGTAGGCAGAGCCTAGAGAAGAGTTGCATTACCTGGGTGATCAGTGCAGAGATATGTCACAATACCCCCTTGAGGCAGAGCCTAGACAAGAGTTATATCACCTGGGTGATCAGGGCAGATAGGTCACAAGCACCCTGTAGGCAGAGCCCAGACTAGAGTTGCATCATCTCGGTGATCAGTGCAGAGATATGTCTCAATGCCTCCTGTCGGCAAAGCCCAGAGAAGAGTTACATCTTCTCCGTGACCAGTGCAGAGATATGTCAAAATGCACCTGTGGGCAGAGCCCAGACAAAATTTACATCACCTGGGTGATCAGTGCAGAGACATGTCACAATGTCCATGTAGGCAGAGCCTAGACAAGGGTTACATCACCTGGGTGATCATTGCAGAGTGATGTCACAACGCCCTCTGTAGGCAGATACTAGACAAGAGTTACCTCACCTGAGAGATCAGTGCAGAGATATGTCACAACGCCCTCTGTAGTCAAAGACTAGAAAAGAGTTACATCACCTGTGTGATCAGTGCAGATATATGTCACTATGTCCCTGTTGCCAGAGCCTAGACAAGAGTTCCATCACCTGGGTGATCAGTGCAGAGATAAGTCACAATGTCTATCACAATGTCTCCAGTAGGCAGAGCCTAGACAAGAGTTACATCACCTGGGTGATCACGTCAGAGATATGTCACAATGCCCCCTGTGGGCAGATCCCAGACAAGAGTTGCATCACCTCGGTGATCAGTGCAGTGATATATTAAAATGCCCCTGTAGGCAGAGCCTAGACAGGAGTTACATCACCTGGGTGATCAGTGCAGAGATATGTCACGATGTCCCCTGTAGGCAGAGCCTAGGCAAGAGTTACATCACCTTTGCCATCAGTTCAGAGATATGTTAAAATGCCCCTTTAGGCAGATCCTAGACAAGACTTGCATCACCTGGGTGATCAGTGCAGAGATTTTTCACATTGCCCCCTGTAGGCAGAGGGTAGAAAAAAGTTACATCACCTAGGTGATCAGTGCTGAGATATTTCACAATACCCACTGTAGGCAGATCCTAGACAAGACTTGCATCACCGGGGTGATCAGTGCAGAGATTTTTCACATTGCCCCCTGTAGGCAGCGCGTAGAGAACTGTTAAATGACCTAGGTGATCAGTGCAGAGATTTGTCAAAATTCCCTGTAGGCAGAGCTTATAAAAGTGTTACATCACCTACGTGATCAGTGCAGAGATATATGTCACAAAGCTCCCTGTGGGCAGAGCCTAGCCAAGAATTCTCTCTCCAGGAGTGATAAGTGCAGAGATATGTCACAAAGCCCCTGTAGGCAGAGCTTAAATGAGTTACATCACCTGGGTGGTGAGTGCAAAGTTATGTCACAAAGCCCCCTGTAGGCTAAGCCTAGGCAATAGTTACATTACTTGGGGGATGAGTAAAGACATCTCTCACAATTCCCCTGTAGGTAGAGCTTATACAACAGTTACACCACCTGGGTGATCAGTGCTGAGATATGTCACAATGCCCCCATAGGCAGATGCAAGACAAGAGTCCGTCACCTGGGTGATCAGTGCAGAAATAAGTCAGAATGCCCCCGTAGGAAGAGCCTAGACAAAAACCCCATCACCTGGATGATCAGTGCAGGGTTCTGTCACAAAGTCCATTTAGGCAGATCCCAGACAAGAGTTATATCACCTGGGTGATCAGTGCAGAGATATGTCACAATGCCACTGCAGGCAGAGCCTAGACAAGAGTCACATGACCTAGGTGATCAGTGCAGAGATACATCGCAATGCCCCTTTAAGGAGAGCCTTGACAAATGGTACATCACCTGGATGATCATTGCAGGGATATGTCACAAAGCAGCCTGTAGGCAGATCCTAGACAATAGTTATATCACCTGGGTGATCAGTGCAGAGATATGTCACAATGCCACTGTAGGCAGAGCCCAGACAAGAGTTATATCACATGGGTGATCAGTGCAGAGATATGTCACAATGCCACTATAGGCAGAGCCTAGACAAGAGTTATATCACATGGGTGATCAGTGCAGTGATATGTCACAATGACGCGTGGCCAGAGCCTAGGCAAAGGTTACATCACCGGGGAGATCACTGCAGAGATATGTCACAATGCACTCTGTAGGCAAAACCTAGAGAAGAGTTGCATCACCTGGGTGATCAGTGCAGAGATATGTTACAATGCACCCTGTAAGCAATGCCTAGACAAGAGTTGCATCACCTCGGTGATCAGTGTAGAGATATGTCTCAATTAGTCCTGTCGGCAAAGCCCAGAGAAGAGTTACATCATCTCGGTGATCAGTGCAGAGATATGTCAAAATGCCCCTGTGAGCAGAGCCTAGACAAAATTTACATCACCTGGGTGATCAGTGCAGAGACATGTTACAATGTCCATGTAGGTAGAGCCCAGACAATGGTTACATCACCTGGGTGATCATTGCAGAGTGATGTCACAACGCCCTCTGTAGGCAGAGACTAGACAAGAGTAACCTCACCTGAGAGATCAGTGCAGAGATATGTCACAACGCCCTCTGTAGGCAAAGACTAGGGAAGAGTTACATTACCTGTGTGATCAGTGCAGATATATGTCACTATGTCCCTGTGGCCAGAGCCTAGACAAGAGATACATCACCTGGGTGATCAGTGCAGAGATAAGTCACAATGTCTCCAGCAGGCAGAGCCTAGACAAGAGTTACATCACCTGGGTGATCAGGTCAGAGATATGTCACAATGCCACCCGTAGGCAGATCCCAGACAAGAGTTGCATCACCTCGATGATCAGTGCAGTGATAAGTTAAAATGCCCCTGTTCGCAGAGCCTAGACAAGAATTATATCACCTGGGTGATCAGTGCAGAGATCTCACAATACCCCTGTAAGCAGAGCTTAGGCAAGAATTACATCAACTGGGAGATCAGTGCAGAGATATGTCATAAATCCTACTGTAGGCAAAACCTAGACAAGTGTTACATCACCTCAGTGATCAGTGTAGAGATATGTCCCAATGCCCCTGTAGGCAGAGCTTAGACAAGAGTTACATCACCTGGGTGATCAGTGCAGAGATAAGTCACAATGCTCCCATAAGCAGAGCCCAGACAAGAGTTACATAACCCGGGTGATATGTGCAGAGTGATGTCACAACACCGTCCGTAGGCATAGACTAGAAAAGAGTTACATCACCTGGGTGATCCGTGCAGAGATATGTCACAATGTCCCCTGTAGGCAAAGCCTAGGCAAGAGTTACATCACCTTTCTCATCAGTTCAGAGATATGTCAAAACGCCCCTGTAGGCAGAGCCTAGAAAAGAGTTACATCACCTAGTTGATCGGTGCAGAGATATTTCACAATACCCCCTGTAGGCAGATCCTAGACAAGAGTTGCATCACTTGGGTTATCAGTGCAGAGATATTTCACAATGCCCCCTGTAGGCAGAGGGTAGACAAGAGTTACATCACCTAGGTGATCAGTACAGAGATTTGTCAAAATTCCCTGTAGGCAGAGCTTATAAGTTTTATATCACCTAGGTGATCAGTGCAGAGATCTCTCACAAAGGCCCCTGTAGGCAGAGCCTAGACAAGAATTCTCTCCACGGGGTGATCAGTGCAGAGATATGTCACAATGCCACTGTTGGCAGAGCCTAGATAAGAGTTACATGACTTAGGTGATCAGTGCAGATACATCGCAATGCCCCTGTAGGCAGAGCCTTGACAAGTGGTACATCATCTGGGTGATCATTGCAGGGATATGTCACAAAGCACCCTGTAGGCAGATCCTAGACAAGAGTTACATCACCTGGGTGAGCAGTGCAGAGGTATGTCACAAGCCTCCTGTAGGCAGAGCCTAGACAAGAGTTATATCACCTGGGTGATAAGTGCAGTGATATGTCACAATGCCGTGTAGCCAGAGCCCAGACAAATGTTACATCACCAGGGAGATCAGTGCAGAGATATGTCACAATGTCCCCAGTAGGCAGAGCCCAGAAAAGAGTTGGATCACCTCGGGATCAGTGCAGAGATACGTCTCAATCCCCCTGTGGGAACAGCGTAGACAAGGGTTAAATCACCTTGCTTATCAGGGCAGAGGTATGTCAAAATGCCACTGTAGGCAGAGCCTACTCAAGTGTTACATCAGTTAGGTGACCAGTGCAGAGATATGCCAAAATACCCCCTGTAAGCAGAGCCTAGACAAGAGTTATATCACCTGGGTGATCAGTGCAGAGATATGTGACAAGGCCCCTTTAAGCAGAGCCTAGACAATGGTTACATCACCTGAGTGATCAGTGCAGAGATCTGTCACGGTGCCCCTTTAGGCAGAGCTTACACCAGAGTTACATCACCTGGGTGAGCAGTGCAGAGATATGTCACAATGCCCCCATAGGCACATCCAAGACAGGAGTCCGTCACCTAGATGATCAGTGCAGAAATATGTGACAATGACCGCTGTAGGCAGAGCCTAGAGAAGAGTCCCATCACCTAGGTGATCAGTGCTGAGTTATGCCACAATGCCCTCTGTAGGCAGAGCCTAGACAAGATTTACATCACCTGGTGGTTCAGTAAAGAGATATTTCACAATGCCCCTGCAGGCAGAGCATAAGCAAGAGTTACATCACCTAGATGATCAGTGCAGAGGTATGTCACAAGGCCCCCTATAGGCAGAGCCTGGACAACAGTTACATCACCTCGGTGATCAATGCAGTGATATGTCACTATGCGCCAGTAGGCAGAGCCTAGTCAAGCATTACATCACCTGGGTCATCAGTGCAGAGATATGTCACAAAGCCCCCATACACAGAGCCTAGACAAGAGTCCCATCACCAGGGTGATCAGTGCAGAAATATGTCACAATGCCCCCTAGGCAGATCCAACACAAGAGTTAAATCACCTCGATTATCAGTGTAGAGATATGTCAAAATGCCCCCGTAGGCAGAGCCTAGACAAAAGTCCCATCACATGGCTGATCAGTACAGAGATATGTCACAAAGCCCCTGTAGGTAGAGCCTAGACAAGAGTTACATCATTTGGTTTATCAATTCAGAGATGTGTCACAATGCCTATGTAGGCAGAGCCTAGACAAATGTTTCATCAGCTGGATGAGCAGTGCAGAGATATGTGACAAGGCCCCTTTAAGCAGAACCTAGACAATAGTTACATCATCTGAGTGATCAATGCTGTGATATGTCACTATGCCCCAGTAGGCAGAGCCTAGTCAAAGGTTTCATCACGTAGGTGATCAGTGCAGAGATATGTCACAAAGCCCCCATACACAGAGCCTGGAAAAGAGTCCCATCACCTGGGTGATCAGTGCAGAAATATGTCGCAATGTCCCCATAGGCAGATCCAACACAAGAGTTATATCACCTGGGTGGTCAGTGTAGAGATATGTCACAATGCCCCCGTAGCAGAGCCTAGACAAAAGTTCCATCAGCTGGGTGATCAGTGCAGAGATATGTCACAAAACCCCTGTAGGCAGAGGCTAGACAAGAGTTACATCGCTTGGTTGATAAGTTCAGAGATGTGTCACAATGCCCATGTAGGCAGAGCCTTGACAAGTGTTCCATCAGCTGGGTGATCAGTGCAGAGATATGTCGCAATGCCCCCTATAGGCAGAGCCTAGACAAGAGTTACATCACCTGGGTAATGAATACAATGATACATCAAAATGCCCCTGTAGGCAGAGCCTAGACAAGAATTAAATCATCTAAGTGATCAGTGCAGTGATACGTCACAAAAATCCTTTCAGACAGAGCCTAAACAAGAGTTACATCACCTGGGTGATCAGTGCAGATATTTGACACAATGACCCCATAGACAGAGCCTAAACAAGACTTCCATCACCTGGGTGATCAGTGCAGAGATATGTCACAAAGACCCCTGTAGGCAGAGCCTAGAGAAGAGTTGCATTGCCTGGGTGATCAGTGCAGAGATATGTCACAATACCCCCGTAGGCGGAGGCTAGACAAGAGTTATATCACCTGGGTGATCAGTGAAGTGATACATCAAAATGCCTCTGTAGGCAGAGCCTAGATGAGAGTTACATCATCTAGGTGATCAGTGCAGTGATATGTCACAAAAATCCCTGTAGACAGAGCCTAGACAAGACTTCCATCACCTGGGTTATCGGTGCAGAAATGTCACAAATCCCCCTTTAGGCAGAGTATAGAGAAAAGTCCCATCACCTGAGTTATCAGTGCAGAGATATGTCATGAAGACCCCTGTAGGCAGAGTGTAGGGAAGAGTCCCATCACCTGTGTTATCAGTGTAGTGATAAGTCACAATGCCGCTGTAGGCAGAGAGTAGAAAAGAGTTGCATTACCTGGGTGATCAGTATGGAGATATGTAACAATGCCCCCTCAGGGCAAAGCCTAGAAAAGAGTTATATCGCCTAGTTGATCAGTGCAGAGGTACGTCACAAAGCCCCCTGAAAGTACACCCTAAAGAAGAGTTACATCACCTGGGTGATCAGTGCAGTGATATGTCACAATTCCCCTGTAGGCAGAGCCTAGAAATGGGTTACATCACCTGGGTGATCACTATAGAGATGTGACAAATCCCCCTTTAGGCAAAGCCTAGAAAGGAGTTGCATCATCTGGGGAATCAGTGCAGAGATATCTCACAATGCACCCATAGGGAGAGCTTAGACAGGGTTCACATCACCTCAGTGATCAGTGCAGAGGTATGTCACAATGCCCCCTTAGGCAGAGCCTAGACAAAAGTTACATCACCTTGATGATCAATACAGAGTGATGTCACGAAGCACCTTGTAGGCAGAGCCTAGAGAAGAGTTAAGTCACCTGCGTGATCAGTGCAGAGATATGTCACAATGCCCCCTGTAAGAAGAGCCTAGAGAAGAGTTGCACCACCTGGGTGATCAGTGCAGAGATATATTACAATGCCCCCTGTAGGCAAAGCCTAGACAAGAGTTACATAACCTCGGTGATCACTTCAGAGATATGTCAAAACGCCCCTGTAGGCAGAGCCTAGAAAAAGTTACATCACCTATGTGATCAGTGCAGAGATATGTCACAATACCCCCTTTAGGCAGAGCCTAGACAAGAGTTACATCACCTGGGTGATCAGGGCAGAGATATGTCACAATGCCCCCTGTAGGCAGAGCCCACACAAGAGTTGCATCACCTCCGTGTTCAGTGCAGAGATATGTCTCAATGTCTCCTGTCGGCAAAGCCCAGAAAAGAATTACATCATCTAGGTCATCAGTGCAGAGATATGTCAAAATGCCCCTGAGGGCAGAGCCTAGAAAAAATTTACATCACCTGGGTGATCAGTGCAGAGACATGTCACAATGTCCATGTAGGCAGAGCCTAGACAAGAGTTACATCACCTGGGTGATCAGTGCAGAGATATGTCACAATGTCTCCAGCAGGCAGAGCCTAGACAAGAGTTACATCACCTCGGTGATCAATGCAGAGATATGTCACAATGCCCCCTGTAGGCAGATCCCAGACAAGAGTTGCATCACCTCGGTGATCAGTGAAGTGATATGTCTCAAAGACCTCTGTCAGCGAAGCCTGTACAAGTTACATCATCTCGGTGATCAGTGCAGTGATATGTTAAAATGCCCCTGTAGGCAGAGCCTAACAAGAGTTACATCACCTGGGTGATCAGTGCAGAGATATCTCACAATACCCCCTGTAAGCTGAGCCTAGACAAGAGTTACATCAACTGGGTGATCAGTGCAGAGATATGTCATAAATCTCACTGTAGGCAAAGCCTTGACAAGTGTTACATCATCTCAGTGATCAGTGCAGAGATATGTCCCAATGCCCCTGTAGGCAGAGCTTAGACAAGAGTCACATCTCCTAGATGATCAGTGCAGAGATACGTCACAGTGCTCCCATAGGCAGAGCCTAGACAAGACTTACATAACCCTGGTGATCCGTGTAGAATGATGTCACAACGCCCTCTGTAGGCAGAGACTGGAAAAGTTACTTCACCTGGGTGATCAGTGCAGAGATATGTCACAATGCCGTTTGTAGGCAGAGCATAGAGAAGAGTTGCATCACCTGGGTGATCAGTGCAGAGATATGTCACAATGTCCCCTGTAGGCAAAGCCTAGGCAAGAGTTACATCACTTTTGTCATCAGTTCAGAGATATGTCAAAACGCCCCTGTAGGCAGAGCCTAGACAAGAGTTACATCACCTAGTTGATCAGTGCAGAGATATTTCACAATACCCCCTGTAGGCAGAGGGTAGACGAGTTACATCACCCAGGTGATCAGTGCAGAGATATTTTACAATACCTCCTGTCAGCAGATCCTAGACAAGAGTTGCATCAACTGGGTGATCAGTGCAGACATACTTCACAATGCCCCCTGTAGGAAGAGGGTAGATCAGAGTTACATCACCTAGGTGATCAGTGCAGAGATATGTCAAAAAGCCCCTTGTAGGCAGAGCCTAGACAAGAATTCTCTCCCCGGGGTGATCAGTGCAGAGATATGTCACAAGGCCCCTGTAGGCAGAGCTTAGATGAGTTACATCACCTGGGTGATCAGTGCAAAGATATGTCACAAAACCCCCTGTAGGCAAAGCCTAGACAATTGTTACATCACTTGGGTGATCCGTGGAGAGATCTCTCACAATTCCCCTGTAGGCAGAGCTTATATAACAGTTACATCACCTGGGTGATCAGTGCAGAGATATTTCACAGTGCCCCCAGAGGCAGATGCAAGACAAGAGTCTGTCACCTGGATGATCAGTGCAGAAATACGTCACAATGCCCTCATAGGCAGAGCCTGGACAAAAGCCCCATCACATGGATGATCAGTGCAAAGTTATGTGACAAAGCAACCTTTAGTCAGATCCTAGACAAGGGTTACATCACCTGGGTGATCAGTGCAGAGATATGTTACAATGCACCCTGTAAGCAATGCCTAGACAGGAGTTACATCACCTCGGTGATCACTTCAGAGATATGTCATAACGCCCCTGTAGGCAGAACCTAGAAATGAGTTATATCACCTGGGTGATCAGGGCAGATATGTCACAATGCGCCCTGTAAGGAGAGCCCAGACAAGAGTTGCATCACCTCGGTGATCAGTGCAGAGATATGTCTCAATTAGTCCTGTCGGCAAAGCCCAGAGAAGAGTTACATCATGTCGGTGATCAGTGCAGAGATATGTCAAAATGCCCCTGTGAGCAGAGCCTAGACAAAATTTACATCACCTGGGTGATCAGTGCAGAGACATGTTACAATGTCCATGTAGGTAGAGCCTAGACAATGGTTACATCACCTGGGTGATCATTGCAGAGTGATGTCACAACGCCCTCTGTAGGCAGAGACTAGAGAAGAGTTACATTACCTGTGTGATCAGTGCAGATATATGTCACTATGTCCCTGTGGCCAGAGCCTAAACAAGAGTTACATCACCTGGGTGATTAGTTCAGAGATATGTCGCATTGCCTCCATAGGCAGATCCAAGACAAGAGTCCGTCACCTGGGTGATCAGTGCAGAAATATGTGACAATGCCCCCAATAGGCAGAACCTAGAGAAGAGTCCCATCACCTGGGTGATCAGTGCAGAGTTATACCACAAAGCCCCCTGTAGGCAGAGCCTAGACAAGAGTTACATCACCTGGTTGATTACTGTAGAGATATGTCACAATGCCACTGTAGGCAGAGCCTAGACAAAAGTCCCATCACCTGGGTGATCAGTGCAGAGATATGTCACAAAGCTCCTGTAGGCAGAGCCTAGACAAGGGTTACATCACTTGGTTGATCAGTTCAGAGATGTGTCACAATGCCCATGTAGGCAGAGCCTAGGCAAGAGCTACAACATCTGAGTGATCAATGCAGTGATATGTCACTATGCCCCAATAGGCAGAGCATAGTCAAGTGTTACATCACTTGGGTGATCAGTGCAGAGATAGGTCAAAATGCCCCCATACACAGAGACTATAAAATAGTCTCATCACCTGCACTACAGCCTGTGTGACAGAGGGAGACCCTGTCGAAAGAAAGGAGTGGAATGGAAGGGATTGAAATGGAATGGAACGGATTGGAGTAGAGTGGAGTGGAATTGAGTGGAGTGCAGTGCAGTGGAATGGAATGGAATGGAATGGTGAAATGAAATGTGAGCTGAGATTGTGCCACTGCACACCAGCCTGGGTGACAGAGTGAGATACAGTCAAAAGAAAGTACTGGAATGGAATGGAGTGGAATGGAATGTAATGGAGTTGAGAGCAGTGGAGTGGAGTAGAAAGGAGTGGAATGGAATGGGATGGAATGGAAAGGACTGGAGTGGACTGGAATGGAGTGGAGTGGAGTGGAATGGATTGGAGTGGAGTGGAGTGGAATTTAATGGAGTAGAATGCAATGGAATGGTGAAATGAAATGTGAGCTGAGATTGTGCCACTGCACTCCAGGCTTGGTGACAGAGTGAGATACTCTCTAAAGAAAGGAATGGAATTGAATGCAGTGGAATGGAATGGAATGGATTGGAGTGGAGTGGAGTGAAGTGGATTGGAGTGCAATCAAGAGGAATGGAAAAAGGTGGAATGGAATGGAATGAAGGAAGAGGAGTGGAGAGGGGTGGAGTGGAGTGCAGTGGGATGGAGCGGAATGGAACGGGATGGAGTGGAATGGAGTGGAGTGGAGTGCACTGGAGTGGAGAGGACTGGAATGGAGTGTAATGGAATCGGATGTAATGGAATGTAGTGCAGTGGAGGGGAGTGGAGTGGAACAGAGTGGAATGGAAGAGAATTGAATGGAATGGAACAGAATGGAAAGGAATGGAATGGAATGGAATGCAATGGAATAGAATGCAACGCAATGGAAAGATGACATGTAATGTGAGCTGAGATTGTGCCACTGCACTCCAGCCAGGGTGACACAGAGATATCCTGTCGAAGGAAAGGAATGGAAAGCAATGGAGTGGAGTGGAGTGGAATGGAATGGCATGGAGTGGAACGGAGTGGAGTGGAGTGGAGTGAAATACAGTGGAATGGAATGGGATGGAATGGAATGCAATGGAATGGTGAAAAGAAATGTCAGCTGAGATTGTGCCACTGCACTCCAGCCTTTGTGACCGAGTGAGATCCTGTGGAAAGAAAGGAATGGAACGGAATGGAATGGAGTGCAATGGAATGCAGTGGAGTGGAGTGGAATTGAGTGGAGTGGAATTGAGTGGAGTGGAGTAGAGTGGAATGGAATGGAGTGGAGTGGAATGGAGTGGCACGGATTGGAATGGAGTGGGAGTGGACTGGAGTGGAAATGGAGAGGAGTGGAGTGGAGTCGAAGGGAATGGAATGGAATGCAGTGGAATGGAATGGAATGAAATGGTGAAAAGAAATGTGTGACACAGGGAGATCCTGTCAAAAGAAAGGAGTGGAATGGAAGGGATTGGAATGGAATGGAATGGATTGGAGTAGAGTGGAGTGGAATTGAGTGGAGTGGAGTGCAGTGGAATGGAATGGAATGGAGTGGAATGATGAAATGATATGTGAGCTGAGATTGTGCCACTGCACACCAGCCTGAGTGACAGAGTGGGATCCTGTCAAAAGAAAGGAATGTAATGGAATGGAGTGGAATGGAATGGATTGGAGTGGAGGGAAGTGGAGTGGAAAGGAGTGGAATGCAATGGGATGGAATGGGAAGGACTGGAATGGACTGGAAAGGAGTGGAGTGGAGTGGAATGTACTGGAGTGGAGTGGAGTGGAATGTACTGGAGTGGAGTGGAGTGGAATAGAATGGAATAGAATGGAATTGAATGGGGAAATATAATGTGAGCTGAGATTGTGCCACTACGCTCCAGGCTGGGTGACAGAGTGAGATACTCTTGAAAGAAAGGAATGGAATGGAATGCAGTGTAATGGAATGGAGTGGACTGCAGAGGAGTGGAGTGGAGTGAAGTGGAGTGGAGTGGAATGGAGATGAATGGAATGAGATGGAATGGAATGCAATGAAGTGGAGTGGGGTGGAGTGGAGTGCAGCCGAATGGAGAGGAATGGAATGGGATGGAGTGGAATGGAGTGGAGTGGAGTGCAGTGGAGTGGAGAGGAGTGGAATAGAGTGGAATGGAATAGGATGTAATGGAATGTAGAGGAGTGGAGTGGAGTCGGAGTCGGAGTGTGATGGAATGTAATGGAAAGGAATGGAATGCAATTGAATGCAAAGAAATGGAAAGTTGACATGTAATGTGACCTGAGATTGTGCCACTGCACTCCAGCCTCTGTGACAGAGTGAGATCCTTTGGAAAGAAAGGAACGGAATGGTATGGAATGGAGTGGAGTAGAGTGGAGTGGAATGGAATGGAATGGAATGCAATGGAAAGCAATGGAATGCAATGGAATAGAATGCAGTGAAAAGGAAAGTTGACATGTAATGTGAGCAGAGATTGTGCCACTGCACTCCAGCCTGGGTGACACAGTGATATCCTGTCAAAAGAAAGGAATGGAATGCAATGGAGTGAAATGGAATGGAATGGAGTGGAGTGGAGTGGAGTGGAATGCAATGGAATGGAGTGGAGTGGAATGGAATGGAGTGGAATGGAATGGTATGGAATGGAGTGGAGTGGAATGGAATGGAGAGGAATGGAGTGGAGTGGAGTGGAATGCAATCGAATGGAATGTAATGGAAGGGAATGGAATGGAAGGGAATGGAATGGAGTGGAATGGAATGAAATGGAATGGAGTGGAGTGGAGAGGAGTGGAATGGAATGGAATAGAGTGGAATGGAGTGGAAAAGAGTGGAATGGAATGTGGTGGAATGAAATGGAGTGGAGTGGACTGGAGTAGAGTGGAATGGAATGCAGTGGAATGGAATGGAGTGTAATGGAATGGAATGGAATGGAACGGAATGGAATGGAATGAAATGGTGAAAAGAAATGTGTGCTGAGATTGTGTCACTGCACTAAACCTGTGTGACAGAGGGAGATCCTGTCGAAAGAAAGGAGTGAAATGGAAGGGATTGGAATGGAATGGATTGGAGTGGAGTGGAGTCGAATTGAGTGGAGTGGAGTGCTGTGGAATAGAATGGAATGGAATGGAATGGTGAAGTGAAATGTGAGATGAGACTGTACCACTGCACACCAGCCTGGGTGACAGAGTGAGATCCTGTCAAAAGAAAGGAATGGAATGGAGTGGAGTGGAGTGGAAAGGAGTGGAATGGAATGGGATGGAATGGAAAGGAGTGGAGTGGACTGGAATGGCGTGGAGTGGAATGGAGTGGAATGGATTGGAGTGGAGTGGAGTGGAGTGGGATGGAATGGAATGGAATGGTGAAATGAAATGTGAGCTGAGATTGTGCCACTGCGCTCCAGGCTGGGTGACAGAGTGAGATACTTTCAAAAGAAAGGAATAGAATGGAATGCAGTGGAATGGAATGGCATGGAATGGAGTGGAGTGGGGTGAAGTGGAGTGGACTGGAATGGAGAGGAATGGAATAGGATGGAATGGAATGGAATGAAGTGGAGATGAGTGGGGTGGAGTGGATTGCAGTGGAATGGAGTGGAATGGGATGGAGTGGAATGGAGTGAAGTGCAGTGGAGAGGAGAGGAGTGGAATGGAGTGGAATGGAATCGGATGTAAAGGAATTTAGTGGAGTGGAGTGGAGTGGAACGGAGGGTTATGGAATGGAATTGAATGGAATGGAATGGTGAAATGAAATGTGATCTAAGATTGTGCCACTGAACTCCAGTCTGGTTGATAGAGTGAGATCCAGTAGAAATAAAGGAATGGAGTGGAGTGGAGTGGAATGGAGTAGAGTGGAATGGAGTGGAGTGGAATGGAATGGCATGGAATGGAGTGGAATGGAATGGAGTGGAGTGGAATGGAGTGGAGTGGAATGGAATGGAAAGGAGTGGAGTGGAATGGAATGGCATGGAAGGGAGTGGAGTGGAGAGAAGTAGAGTGGAATGGAATGGAGTGGAGTGGAGTGCAATGGAGTGGAATGGAGTGGAGTCGAATGGAATGGGATGGAGTGGAATGGAATGGAGTGGAGTGGAGTGAAATATAGTGGAATAGAATGGGATGGAATGGAACGCAATGGAATGGTGAAAATAAATGTGAGCTGAGATTGTGATACTGCACTCCAGCCTTTGTGACAGAGTGAGATCCTGTGGAAAGAAAGGAATGGAATGGAAGGGAATGCAATGGAGGGGAGGGGAGTGGAATGGAGTGGAATGGAGTGGAGTGGAGGGGAGTGGAATTGAGTTGAGTGGAGTGGAATAGAGTGGAATGGAATGGAGTGGAGTGGACTGGCATGGAGTGGAATGGAGTGGAGTGGATTGGAGTGGAATGGAGAGGAGTGGAGTAGAGTGGAATGGAATGGAGTGGATTGGCATGGAGTGGCATGGAGTGGAATGGAGTGGAGTGGAGTGGAATGGAGAGGACTGGAGTGGAGTGGAAGGGAATGGAATGGAATAGAGTGGAATGGAATGGAATGAAATGGTGAAAAGAAATGTGTGCTGAGATTGTGCCACTGTGCTACAGCCTGTGTGACACAGGGAGATCCTTTTGAAGGAAAGGAGTGGAATTTAAGGGATTGGAATGGAATGGAATGGAGTGGACTGGAGTGGAATGGAATTGAGTGGAGTGGAGTGGAGTGCGGTGGAATGGAATGGAATGGAGTGGAATGGTGAAATGAAATGTGAGCTGAGATTGTGCCACTGCACACCAGCCTGGGTGACAGAGTGAGACCCTGTCAAAACAAAGGAATGGAATGGAGTGGAATGGAATGGAGTGGAGTGGAAAGGAGTGGAATGGAATGGACTGGAATGGAGTGGAGTGGAATGGAATGGGATGGAATAGAATGGAATGGAATGGTGAAATGAAATGTGTGCTGAGATTGTGCCACTACACTCCAGGCTGGGTGACAGAGTGAGATACTCTCGAAAGAAAGGAATGGAATGGAATGGAATGCAGTGTAATGTAATGTAATGGAATAGAACGGAATGGAGTGAACTGGAGAGGAGTGGAGTGAAGAGGAGTGGCGTGGAATGGAGAGGAATGGAATAGAATGAAGTGGAGTGGAGTGGGGTGGAGTGGAGTGCAGTGGAATGGAACGGAATGGAATGGGATGGAGTGGAATGGAGTGGAGTGCAGTGGAGTGCAGAGGAGTGGAATGGAGTGGAATGGAATCGGATGTAATGGAATGTAGAGGAATGGAGTGGAGTGGAGTCGAACGGAGTGGAATGGAATGGAAAGGAATGGAATGGAATGGAATGCAATGGAAAGGAATGGAATGCAATTGAATGTAATGGAATAGAATGCAATGCAATGGAAAGTTGACATGTAATATGAGCTGAGATAGTGCCACTGCACTCCAGCCTGGGTGACACCATGATATACTGTGGAAAAGAAGCTATGGAATGCAATGGAGTGAAATGGTATGGAATGGAATGGAATGGAGTTGAGTGGAGTCGAGTTTAGTGGAATGGAGTCGACTGGAGTGGAATGGAGTCGAGTGGAGTGAAATAGAGAGGAATGGAATGGGATGGAATGGAATGCAATGGAATGGTGGAAAGAAATGTGAGCTGAGATTGTGCCACTGCACTCCAGCCTATGTGACAGAGTGACATCCTTTGGAAAGGAAGGAACGGAATGGCATGGAATGGAAGGGAGTGGAGTGGAGAGGAGTGGAGTGGAATGGAATGGAGTGGGATGGAATGCAATGGAAATGAATGGAATGGAACAGAATGGAACGGAATGGAATGGAATGGTGAAAAGAAATGTGTGCTGAGATTGTGCCACTGCGCTGCACCCTGTGTGAGAGGGAGATCCTGTCGAAAGAAAGGAGTGCAATGGAAGGGATTGGAATTGAATGGAATGGAATAGGTTGGAGTGGAGTGGACTGGAATTCAGTGGATTGGAGTGGAGTACAGTGGAATGGAATGGAATGGAATGGTGAAATGAAAAGTGGGCTGAGATTGTGCCAATGCACTCCAGCCTGGGTGACAGAGTGAGATCCTGTCAAAAGAAAGGAATGGAATCTAATGGAGTGGAATGGAATGGAGTGGAGTAGAGTGCATTGGAGAGGAAAGGAGTGGAATGGAATGGAAAGGAGTGGAGTGGAATGGAATGGAGTGGAGTGGAATGGATTGCAGTGGAGTGGAGTGGAGCGGAATGGAACTGAATGGATTGGAATTGAATGGAATGGTGAAACGAAATGTCAGCTGAGATTGTGCCACTGCTCTCCAGGCTGGGTGATGGAGTGAGATACTCTCAAAAGAAAGGAAAGGAATGGAATGCAGTGGAATGGAATGGAGTGGACTGGAGTGGAGTGGAGTGGAGTGGAGTGAAGTGGAGTGGAGTGGAATGGAGAGGAATGGAATGGGATAGAATGGAATGGAATGAAGTGGAGTGAAGTGGGGTGGAGCGGAGTCCAGTGGAATGGAGTGGAATGGAATGGGATAGAGTGGAATGGAGTGGTGGGGAGAGCAGTGGAATGGAGAGGAGTGGAATGTAATTGGATGTTATAGAATGTAGTGGAGTGGAGTGGAACGGAATGGAATGGAATACAATGGAATGCAATGGAATGCAATGGAATGCAATGGAATTCAGCAGAATGCAATGGAATAGAATGCAATGAAATGGAAAGTTGACATGTAATGTGAGCAGAGATTGTGCCACTGCACTCCAGCCTGGGTGACACAGTGATATCCTGTCGAAAGAAAGGAATGGAATGCAATGGAGTGAAGTGGAATGGAATGAAAGGGAGTGGAGTGGAGTGGAGTGGAGCAGAATGGAGTGGAATGCAATGGAATGGAATGGAGTGGAGTGGAATGGAATGGCATGGAATGGAGTGGAGTGGAATGGAATGGAATGGAGAGGAATGGAGTGGAGTGGAGTGGAATGCAATGGAATGTAATGTAATGGAAGGGAATGGAATGGAGTGGAATGTGGTGGAGAGGAGTGGAAGGGAGTAGAATGGAATGGAGTGGAATGAAATGGAATGGAGTGGAAAAGAGTGGAATGCAATGCAGTGGAATGAAATGGAGTGGAGTGGACTGGAGTAAAGTGGAATGGAATGCAGTGGAATGGAATGGAGTGGAGTGGAGTGGAAAGGAGTGGAATGGAATGGGATGGAATGGAAAGGAGTGGAGTGGACTGGAGTGGAGTGGAATGGATTGGAGTGGAGTAGAGTGGAGTGGAATGGAATGGAATGGTGAAATGAAATGTGAGCTGAGATTGTGCCACTGTGCTGCAGGCAGGGTGACAGAGTGAGATACTTTTGAAAGAAAGGAATAGCGTGGAATGCAGTGGAATCGAATGGAATGGAATGGAGTGGACTAGAGTGGAGTGGAGTGAGGTGAAGTAGAGTGGACTGGAATGGAGAGGAATGGAATGGGATGGAATGGAATGGAATGAAGTGGAGATGAGTGGGGTGGAGTGGATTGCAGTGGAATGGAGCAGAATGGAATGGGATGGAGTGGAATGGAGTGCAGTGGAGTGCAGTGGAGAGGAGAGGAGTGGAATGGAGTGGAACGGAATTGGATATAATGGAATTTAATGGAGTGGAGTGGAGTAAAGTGGAACGGGAGTGTTATGGAATGGAATGGAATAGAATGGATTCGAATGGAATGGAATGGAATGGACTCGAATGGAATGGAATCAAATGAAATGGAATCTAATGAAATGTAATAGAATGGAATGGACTCGAATTGAATGGATCAGAATGGAACGGTCTCGAATGGAATGGAATCGAATGGAATGCAATCGAGTGGAATGGAATGGACTCGAATGGAAAGGAATGGAATCAAAAGGAATGGAAACGGAATGGACTCAAATGGAATGGACTGGAATGGAAGGCAATCGAATGGAATGGAATCGAATGGAATGGAATCAAATGTAATGGACTGGAATGGAATGGATTCAAATGGAATGGACAGTAATGGAATGGTCCCGAAAGGAATGGAATGGAATGGAATAGAATGGAATGGACTCGAAAGAAATGGCCTGGAATGGAATGGACTTGAATGGAATGGACTCGAGTGAAATGGAATAAAATGGAATGGAATAGAATTTAATGGAATGGAATGGAATGGATTGGAATGGAAAGGAATTGAATCGAATCAAATGTTATGGAATCAAATGGAAGGAAACGGAATGGAATGGAATGGATTCGAAGGGAATGGAATGGAATGGAATGACATGGAATGGAATGGAATGGAATGGAATGACATGGAATGGAATGGAATGGATTCGAAAGGAATGGAATGGAATGGACTCAAAAGGAATGGACTGGAATGGCATGGAATCGAATGGAATTGAATGCAATGGAATGCAATGGAATGGACTCGAATGGAATGGAATGGAAAGGAATGGAATGGACTGGAATGAAATGGAATTGAATGGAATGGAATGGACAGGAATGGAATGGACTCAAATGGAATGGAATCGAAAGGAATGGAATTGAATGGAATGGAATAGAATGGAATGGAATAGACTCGAAGGTAATGGACTGGAATGGAATGGACTTGAATGGAATGGACTCGAATGGAATGGAAACGAATGGAATGGAATCTAATTGAATGGAATCGAATGGAATGCAAACGAATGGAATGGAATCAAATGAAAGGGAATCAATTGGAATGGACTCGAATGGAATGGACTCGAATGTAATGGACTGGACTGGAATGGTATGGAATGGAATTCAAAGCAATGGAATGAAATGGAATGGATCCGAATGGAATGGACTGGACTGGAATGGACTGGAATGGAAAGGAATGGAAGGGAAGGGAATGCATTGGACTCGAATTTAATGGAATGGAATAGAATGGAATGGAATTGATTTGAATGGAATGGAATCGAATGGAATTGAATTGAATGGAATGACATGGAATGGAATCAAATGGAATGGAATGGAATGAATTCGAACGGAATGGAATGGAATGGACTTGAAAGGAATGGACTGGAATGGAATGGAATGGATTCAAATTTAATGGAATGGAATAGAGTGGAATGGAATGGAATAGAATGGAATGGAATGGATTGGAATGGAATTGATTTGAATGGAATGGAATCGAATGGAATTGAATTGAATGGAATGGCATGGAATGGAATCAAATGGAATGGAATGGAATGAATTCGAACGGAATGGAATTGAATGGACTTGAAAGGAATGGACTGGAATGGAATGGAATGGATTCAAATTTAATGGAATGGAATAGAATGGAATGGAATGGATTGGAATGGAATTGATTTGAATGGAATGGAATCGAATGGACTGGAATGGAATGGAATGGAATGGAATCGAGTGGAATGGCATAAAATGCACTGGAATCTAATGGAATGGAATGGACTAGAATGGAATGGAATGGACTCGAATGGAATGGACTGGAATGGAATGGACTAGAATGGAATGGACTCGAAAGGAAGAGGAATCAAATGGAATGGAATAGAACAGAATGGAATCAAATCGGATGGCATGCAATCGGATGGCATGCAATCGGATGGAACGGATTAGAATGGAATGGAATGCAATCGAAATTGAATGGAATGGACTGGAATGGAAAGGACTCGCATGGAATGGACTCGCATGGAATGGAATGGAAAGGAATGGAATGGAAAGGAAAGGAAAGGAAAGGAAAGCAATGGAATAGAATGGTACGGACTCGAATGGAACGGACTCGAATGGAACAGACTTGAATGGAATGGACTCGAATGGGATGGAATCAAATGGGATGGAATCAAATGGAACGGACTGCAATGCAATGGACTTGAAAGGAATCGCCTCGAATGGAATGGAATGGTATGGAATGGAATAGAGTGGATTGTACTCGAATGTAATCGACCGGAATGGAATGGAATTCAATGAAATGAACTTGAATGGAATGCAATCGAATGGAATGGAATGGTATGGAATGGAATGGAGTGTAATTCAATGGACTCGAATGGAATGTAATCGAATGGTATGCATTCGAATGGAATGTAATCCAATGGAATGGAATTGGATGGAATGGACTGTAGTGGAATGGACTGGAATGGAATGGACTCAAAGGGAATGGATTGGAATGATATGGACTTGAATGGAATGGACTCGAAAGGAATGGAATCGAATGAAATGGAATTGAATGGAATGGAATTGAATGGAAGGGATTTGAAACGAAAGGAATGGAATTGAATGGAATGGAAACTAATGGAATGGAATGGAATGCAATGGAATGGAATCGAATGGAATGTAATCGAATGGAATGGAATCGAATGGAGTGTAATAGTACAGTCTCGAATGGAATGGAATTGAATGGAATGGAATCGAATGGAATGGAATCGAATGGAATGGAAAGGAATGGAATGGAACCGAATGGAATGGACTGGAATGGAATGGAATCGAATGGAATGGACTCAAAGGGAATGGAATGGAATGGAATGGACACGAATGGAATGGATTCGAATTGAATGGATGCAAATGGAATGGATTCAATTGGATGGACTCGAATGGAATGCAATCGAATGGAATGCAATCAAACGGGATGGAATCGAATGGAATAGAATTGAATGGAATAGAATCGAATGGAATAGAATCGAATGGAATAGAATCGAATGGAAGGGAATCGAATGGAATGGACTGGAATGAAATGGACTTGATTGGAATGGACTCGAATGGAATGGACTCGAAAGGAAATGAATCGAATGGAATGGAATAGAATGGAATGGAATCTATTCTAATGGAATGGAATGGAATACAATCGAATGGAATGCAATGGAATGGAATGGAATCGACTGGAATGGACTTGAATGGAATGGAATCTTCTTGAATGGAATGGATTGGAAGCGACTGGAATGGACTTGAATGGAATGGAATCTTCTGGAATGGAATGAAATGGATTTGATTGGAGTGGACTGGAATGGAGTGGACTAGAATGGAATGAACCCAAAAAGAAAGGAATCGAATGGAATGGAATAGAATTGAATGCAATGGAATGGAATGGAATAGAATCAAATGGAATGGAATCGAGTGGAATGGAATCGAGTGGAATGGAATCGAGTGGAATGGAATGGAATGGAATCGAATACAGGACTGGAATGGAATGGACTCGAATGGATTGGACTGGAATGGAATGAACTCGAATGGAATGAACTCGAATGGAAGGAACTCGAATGGAATGAACTCGAATGGAATGCAATCGAATGGAATGCAATCTAATGGAATGCAATTGAATGGAATGAAATCGAATGGAATGGATTGGAATGGAATGGAATCGAATATAATGGAATGGAACGGAATGGAATCAAATGTAATGGACTCGAATGCAATTCACTGGAATCGAATGGACTCGAATGGAATGAACTTGAATGGAATGGAGTCTAATGTAATGGAATCGAATGCAATGGAACCATATATATATATATATATATATATGTACACACACACACACCGAGTACATGCCCAGTAGTGGGATTACTGGCTCAAATGGTATTTCCGTTTCTAGATCCTTGAGGAATCACCACACTGCCTTCCGCAATGGTTGAACTAATTCACACTCCCACCAACAGTGTAAAAGCATTCCTATTTCTCCACATCTGCTCCAGCATCTGTTGTTTCCTGAGCTTTTAACAATTGCCATTCTAAATGACGTGAGATTGTATCTCATTGTGGTTTTGATTTGCATTTCTCTAATGATCAGTGATGATGAGCTTTTTTTCAGATGTTTGCTGGCTGCATAAATGTATTCTTTTGAGAAGAGTCTGTTCATATCCTTTGCCCACTTTTTGATGAGATTGTTCTTTTCTTGTAAATTTGTTAAAGTTCCTTGTAGATTCTAGATATTAGGCCTTTGTCAGATGGACAGATTGCAAACATTTCCTCCCATTCTGTAGGTTGCCTGTTCACTCTGATCATAGTATTGGAAGTTCTGGCCAGGGTAATCGGCAAGAGAAAGAAATAAACGGTATTCAAATAGGAAGAAAGGAAGTCGAGTTGTCTCTGTTTGCAGATGACATGATTGTATATTTAGAAAACCAAATAGTCTCAGCCCCAAATCTCCTTCAGCTGATAAGCAACTTCCTCATAGTCTCAGGATACAAAGTCAATGTGCAAAATTCACAAGCCTTCCTATACACCAGTTATAGAGCACTAAATCATGAGTGAACTCCCATACACAATTGCTACAAAGAGAATAAAATAACAAGGAATACAACTCACAAGGGATTTGAAGGACCTCTTTAAGGAGAACTACAAACCACCACTCAAGGAAATAAGAGGACACAAACAAATGGAAAAACATTCCATGCTTATGGATAGGAAGAATCAATATCTTGAAAATGGCCATACTGCCCAAAGTAATTTGTAGTTTCAATGCTATACCCATCAAGCTACCATTGACTTTCTTCACAGAATTAGAAAAAACTACTTTAAATTTCATATGGAACCAAAAAAAGAGCCCACATAGCCAAGACAATCCTAAGCAAAAAGAACAAAGCTAGAGGCATCATGCTACCTGACTTCAAACTATACTACTAGGCCACAGTAATGAAAACAGTATGGTACTGGTACCAAAAGAGATATATAGACCAATGCAACAGAACAGAGGCCTCATAAATAATGCCATACATCTACACCATCTGATCTTTGACAAACCTGACAAAGCAATGGGGAAAGGATTCCCTATTTAATAAATGGTGTTGGGAAAACTGGCTAGCCTTATGCAGGAAACTGAAACTGGACCCCTTCCTTACACTTTATACAAAAATTAACTCAAGATGCATTAAAGACTTAAAAGTCAGTTCTAAATGTGTAAAAACCCTGGATGAAAACCTAGGCAGTACCATTCAGGACATAGGCATGGGCAAATACTTCATGACTAAAACACCAAAAGCAATGGCAACAAAAGCCAAAATTGAAAAATGGGATCTAATTAAACTAAAGAACTTGTGTGCAGTTTTATTTGGGAGTGTGAGTGGGGTACCTCTGAGTTTTAAAAATGAAGAAAGTAAGTAGTCGTGCTTTCCTGACTCTTTGGTAGACATAGCCTTTTAAGACAGTCATTCTGAGCTGTTATAGTCTTAGGGTTTTCTGTACTACTAAAACTTATTGACGACATCTAACCAAGAACTTGAATTAAATTTTTTTTTTTAAAAAAGAAAATCACCCAAATACACATTAAAAACCTCTTACAACATATGTGCACATTCATAGATACCCTGTAGAACTTGATTTTGTGTATTAAAACCTTGTAGAAAAGTTCAGACAGTGCACACAATGACTGCAACTTGGTCTTTGCAAAATCAGTGATATATATTTCAGATCTATCCACATTGACCCAGCGAGGTATTTGATTTATTGTATGATCTAATGATATGCCATGTGATGACTGCAGCATATTTAATTATGCTTTCTTCATGCTGATACCATATGGTCATAAATATGATGACATACCAGCATGGATATGCTTACGTGGTTGGTTTTATTGATTTGTACTATATTAGAAATGAAACAGAAGTATTAGAAATCCTAGCAAGCATAGCTGTATCTCTCCCATGGCTGTGTTGATTGCAACAGTTTCCCCTTAAAGCATGTCTTTTTGACATGTCATGACCCTGAGAAAATCCAGTGTATGCTTTTCAGAGAATGACAGTAAGGAGAGGAAATGGCCGATGGTCAAACTGTTACTTGTTCTCTTGGCTCCCCCTCATGAATGTTAAACTCTAAACTACTCAGGTCACAATTTAGAACCCCTTTGTTGATCCCCACAGAGTGTTCCCGGATGTCAAATGACAAATAGGCCCTTGAAGAAAAAACACCCTGTAAAGCCATATTGCTCTGGTTTTTGTGTGTGAATGTGTGTGTGTGTGTGTGTGTGTGTGTATCTGTGCGTATTTTTTCTCTTCTGAAAACTGTAAATAGAATAATTTTCATTACAAATGAAAATATTTCTGTTCCACATTTATTTCCTGTCTCATAGCACTCTGCTCTTCTTGGATCTAGTAAGGATCTCAGCGTTACTTATTTATACCTGCAAAAAATTACATCATTCTTCATTTTTCATGTCAATTACTGACATGTTTTCAAGTCTTCACAAGTTATTTCTGAAGATGTTGGTTCATTGAGGAGAGGCAGTGTCATTGTAGTTAAAGAAGTTTTTAAATAGGTTATGTTCAATAGAATTTCAGAGCCCGTTTCTCTAGAAGGTATAGACATAGTGGTTTTATGCGTAGTTAAACATAAAATAGCTCCACAAAGTCTTTTGTACGTGAAAGTGTTCATATCCTGGAAGATTCTAATTTACTACTCGTACTGTCTCCTGGAGAGGAAAATAGGTAAGATAGGCTGCTGAGCCTATGATAATAACTCATGATATGAGGTGAAAGCATAGAGCCAAAATGAGAGATGATACTCAAACCGATGTGAGTGAAGAACAGTTGTGAAAGTGTCTATGGGAGAGAGAAGGCCATGGCGCTGCTTTTGTGAAGAAGGAATTTGTACACGTTAGTAAAGTGTCTGATACATTTAACATTTTAATAAAACAAAACCTTATCTTCACATGTGTCAGAATGGGATTGTACAGATGTCAGAATACAGTAGTAGTGAGAATAATGAAGAAATGAAAGTGGAGGGCAAAGAATGAAGTCCACCAATATGGATATTAGCTTTATGAATGAAAAAGAGTGTATGTCAAACTGGGCAGAACAAAGAAAGCAGCTAGCTAGGTAATTTGGAGGCTTCTGATGAGGAGACTTGTGGGGAGTCACTTAATGGAAAGCGGAAGTTAGAAGGATGAGGGTGACCCCCAGGGTTTCACTTCTACTCCCTAGAAGTTTTGCACATCAATGATATGTGCTTCGTTCACGTCAGTTAGCATATTGGGATGCAGCTTAATCTAGAAAAAGTTTTTTCTTTAGGAAAGCTGTGCTTGCTGAAGTAGTTATTTCATACCTGAGAGACCCCTATGGTATATTATTTCAAACTAGCTTTAGAAACAAAGTAGTAAAAGAATGTATATCTTGAGTACTAAAAAAAACTACCAATATTCTTGGCAATCATGACATATCTATATATAGATATATATATATAGATATAGTACATATGTATATGTATATATTTGGTTGGTTATTAATAAGAAAAGAAGTCTTGTGATTTAGAGATTTTGTTTACCTTATTTACATGGGAATCTGATTATGCATGATTTCTTTGACATGTATGTTTTTGCAAAAGTGGAAAAAGATGGCAAAAGAGCTGAACTGCTGAATACGGGAAATGTAGGAATATTAGGAGCCTTCATGAGTACAAAGAAAATAATTTTTTAAATTATGACTCTAAGTATAACTGAACTCACTTCAGATGCATTTAGAATATTTGCATAAAAGATGATTTGATTTTGGCTGCTCCAGAAACTACTGGAAGAAGGAAAGAGTTACTAGAATTCAGATAAACCACAATGACTCATTACTTCTCTTTGTTACTATTGGGAATCAGAGACATAGATTTTGTTGATATTAGTCATTCAAATGAAATAAGCATGAATGTGCATACATTGGCTTTGTTTTCCAAGGAGCTAACTTTTGGATGCAATAGCAATTTAATGAAAATTTCTTAGAGAATAACATGATACTTCAAACCAGACTATTTTAGAAACAAGAATAATGTTGAATTC